>NC_000005.10:163640111-163943142 GCF_000001405.40 Homo sapiens | reverse complement strand
AAAACATAAAAATCTAGGCAGGCATGGTGGCACAAGCCTGTAGTCCCAGCTTCTTGGGAGGCTGTGGTGGGAGCATCCCTTGAGCCTGAAGAAGCTTCAGTAAGCTGTGACTGTGCCACTGCCCTCCAGCCTGGGTGACAGAGCAAGATGTCTCAAAACAATAACAATGATACAAAAACTGTACATTCCATTAAAAAATAGGCAAAGGACTTGAATAGATATTTCTTCAAAGAAGATACACAAATGGCTAATAAGCATATAAAAAAATTCCCAACATCACTAATGAAAGGTAAACTTCATTATATTGTATGTGGAAATGCAGTTCTTCCATTATCGTTTGGTAAAGAGAGTTCCCTTTCTGTACTGTGTACTCTTGGCATCCATATCAAAGACCATTTCAGCAGATATGTGTGGATATTTCTTGACTTTCTAATGTTTTCTACTGGTCTATATGTCTGAATTTATGCCAGTACCACACTCTTTTGATTACTGTTGATTTGTAATATGTTTTGAAATCAGAAATTATAATGCTTCCTACTTTGCTCTTCACTTTCAATATTGCTTGATGATTCAGAGTCCCTTGAGATGCCATATAAATTTTATTATGGTTTTTTCTATTTCTGCAAAAATGTCATTGAGATTTTGATAAAGATTACATTAAATCTATAAGTTTCTTTGAGCAGTATGGACATTTTAACAATGTTAAGCTTACAATCCATAACAAGCAATATCTTTCCATTTATCTGAGTTGTCTTTAATTTCTTTTAACAACGTTGGGTAGTTTCAGTGTACTAGCCTTTTGCTTTTTGGTTAAGTTTATTTCTAAGTATTTCATTCTTTTTGATGCTATTGTAAACAGGATTGTTTTCCTCATTTTCTTTAGAAGATAACTATTTTGTAAAAATATTTCAAAGTGGATTTTATGTGATCACTATCTATGTGAATTGTCAAAGACCCTGGCACAAGGGTTCAAGAACAAGTAGTTTATTTGGGAGATGATTCCAGAGGTACTGGTAGAGAAGCAGGAA
Source organism: Homo sapiens (assembly GCF_000001405.40). Lineage (NCBI taxonomy): Eukaryota > Metazoa > Chordata > Mammalia > Primates > Hominidae > Homo > Homo sapiens. The sequence continues at coordinate 163,942,114 of NC_000005.10, read as the reverse complement.
AATGAAACAGAGAAGAGAAGTACATTGTTTTGCTAACTCACTGGGTTGATTGACACTTTCATGAAAAATTTCTTTGTAGCACGTGCTGTTTTTTGATAGCATTTTACCCACAGAAAAAATTCTTTCAAAATTAGAGTCAATCCTCTCAAAATCCACTTTTGCTTTTTCAACTAAGTTTATGTAATATGCTAAACTCCTTGCTGTCCTTGTAACAATGTTCACAGCATCTTCACTAGAAGTAGAGTCCATCTCAAGAAACCACTTGCTTTTCTCATCTATAAGAAGCAACTCCTCATCTTTTAAAGTTTTATCATGAGGTTTCAGAAATCAGTCACATCCTCGGGTTCCACTTCTAATTTTAGATCTCTTGCTATTTCTACCACATCTGCAGTGACTTCCTCCACTGAAGTCTTGAACCCCTCAAAGCCATCCATGAAAGTTGGAATCAACTTCTTTGAAACTCCTGTTAATATTTTACTTCCTTCCATGAATCCTAAGTCTTCTTAATGTCATCTAGAATAGTGAATTCTTTCCAGAAGATTTTCAATTTACTTAGCCCACATCCATCAGAGGAATGAATATATATGGTACCTACAGCTTTATGAAATGTATTTCTCAGATAATAAAACTTGAAAATAAAAATTATTCCTGATCCGTGGGCTGCAGAATGGATGTTGTGTTAACAGGCATGGAAACAACATTAATCTCCTTACATATCTCCATCAGAGCTCATGGGACCAGGTGCATTGTCAATGAGCAGTAATGTTGTGAAAGAAATCATTTTTCTAAGCAATAGGTCTTAACAGCGGGCTTAAAATAGTAAACCATGCACTATAAATAGATATGCTGTCATCCATGCTTTGTTGTTCCATTTATAGAGCACAGTCAGAGTAGATTTAGTATCATTTGTATCGACCCAAGAACTTTCCAAATGGTAAGTGAACACTGACTTCAACTTAAAGCCATCAGCTGCATTAGCCCCTAACAAGAGAGTCAGCTTATCCTCTGAAGCTCTGAAGCCACGCATTGACTTCTCCTCTCTAGCTCTGAAAGTCCTAGATGGCATCTTCCTTGAATAGAAGGCTGTTTCATCTACATTTGAAAATCTGTAGTTTATTGTAACCACCTTAATCAGTGATCTTAACTGGGTCTTCTGGACAACCTGCTGCAGCTTCTACGTTTAGCACTTGCTGCTTCACCTTACACTTTATGTTATGGAAATGGCTTCTTTCCTTAAATCTTACGAACCAACCTGTGCTTGCTTCACAATTTTCTTCTGCAGTTTGCTCACCTCCCTCAGTCTTCATAGAATTGAAGAGAATTAGGGCCTTGCTCTGGATTAAGCTTTGGCTGAAGGGAATGTTGTGGCTGGTTTGAAGTTCTATCCAGACCACTCAAACTTTCTCCACATCAGCAATCAGGCTGTTTTGCTTTCTTATCATTCCTGTGTTCACTGGAGTAGTCCTTTAAGCACGTTTTCTTTGCATTCACAACTTGGCTATTTGGTGCAAGAGGCCTACCTTTCAGCTTATTTCGACTTTTTTTTTTAATTAATTTTATGGGTACACAGTAAGTGTATATATTTATGAGGTACATGAGATATTTTAATACAGGCAAACAATATGTATTATAATAACTACATCAGGGTAAATGGGGTATCCATCACCCCAAGAATTTATCATTTCTTTGTGTTACAAACATTCCAATGATACGATTTTAGCTATTTTAAAATGTACAATAAATTATCGTTGACCGCTATCTCAGCGTTTAACATGTTTTCCACACTAACTTGAATTATTTCTAGCTTTGGATTAAAAGTGAGAGACATGCGACTCTTGCTTTCACTTGAAAACTTAGAGGCCATTGTAGGGTTATTAATGTGCCTAATTTCAATATTGATGTGTCTGTATGGAATAAGGAAGCCTCAATGAGAGGAAGAGCAACAACAAAATAGCTGATTGGTGGAGAAGTCAGAATACACACAACATTCATCTATTAAGTTCACTGTCCTATACGGGCATGGCTTGTAGCACCTCAAAATAATTACAATAGTAGCATCAAAGATCACTGATCACAAGTCACCATAATAGATATAATAACGATGAAAAAGTTTGAAATATTGTGAGAATCACCAAAATGTGATACAGGAGATTTTGGAAAAATGATACTAATAGAATTGCTTGATGTACGGTTGCCACAAACTTTCAATTTATAAAAATGCAACATCTGTAAAGGGTAATAAAATGCAGTGCAATAAGATGAGGTATGTCTATAAATATTTCAGGCTTTGTAAACTAAGAGGCAAAACTGAGGACACTACTTAGGTAGTTATGTAACAACAGAAGGAAAAAAAACAATTTTTCACACATTCTTACTGAAAAAACTCAAAGGCTGGGCATGGTGGCTCATGCCTGTAATCTCGGCACTTTGGGAGGCTGAGGCGGGAGGATCACGTGAGGTCAGGAGTTCGAGACCAGCCTGGCCAACATGGTGAAACCCCGTCTCTACTAAAAATATAAAAATTAGCTGGGCGTGGTGGCAGGCACCTGCAATCCCAGCTACTTGGGAGGCTGAAGCAGGAGAACTGCTTGAACCTGGGAGGCAATGGTTGCAGTGATCCAAGATCACACTACTACACTCTAGCCTGGGTGACAGAGTGAGACTCTGGCTCAAAAAAAGATAAAGAAAAAAGTCAAAAAATAATAGTGATTGAATATGTTTTCAGTAATAGATGTCTACTAATGAATTGAATTCTTTTTTTTTCTTTTTGGTGGGAGAATAACATTTCACTTAAATAAAGTTCAAAGTTAGTATTCCCTATAATCAAAACCAGCTATAAATGTTCATCTGTTAATGCTGATATGTAATGAGATTTTACCGCTTTCATCTTTAAAAACGTCTTTTTCCCATAGAAAAGTATTGCCAAGTACTGATGCTAATTCATCAGCATATAATTTTAATTGAGTATATTCATTATTGGGAAGGCATTTGTAGATTCTATTAGATTCTTTTCTTTGATATTTGCCCTTCAGCATATCACTACAAAGTAGATTAATTACTTCCAATTTAAGGATAGGTAGAAGCGCCTCAGTTGTACAGTTAAACGTATTTTGAAATATGAAAATTCCCTTTGAGGTCTGAAAAATGCAGCTAAAACTATAATCCACATTTAAAAAATGTATCTGCTAAAATTAGTGTGGTGAAGATCTTTCTTCATTTAACTATTTATTTATTTATTTTGAGACAGACAGGATCTCTGTCACCCAGACCAGAGTGCAGTGGCGCAATCAGGACTCACTGCAGCCCTGATTGCACAACTCCCAGGCTTAAGGGATTCTCCCACCTCAGTCCCTGGAGTAGCTGCAACTACAAGCACACACCACTATGACCACCTAATTTTTTTTTTAATTTTTGGTAGAGACAGGATCTTTTTATGTTGTCCACCCTGGTGTTTAACAACTGGGCTCAAGTGATTCTTATGCTTTGGCCTCCCAAAGTGTTGGGATTAGAGGCATGAGCTACTGCGCCTGGCTAACCATTTAACTTTTAGCAGAAGACGTGTATAAAGCAGCTTGACATTACTATTAAATAGTAATGTTATAATTAAATAACATTAATATTTTCATTTTAACAATAATAGTAATAAAAATATCTTTGCTGCATTATAAATTTCACATATAAGCACTGTTTTGGTTTGTAATTTTTGGTTTAGTTCATTATACAATATTATCAAGTCTTCAGCAAAAGAAAATTAATTTTCTTTCTTTTTTTTTAAGTTCTGGGATACATGTGCAGAACGTGCAGATTTGTTACACAGGTATACATGTGCCATAGTGGTTTGCTGCACCCATCAACCTGTCATCTAGGTTTTAAGCCCCACATGCATTAAGTATTTGGCCTAATGCTCTCCCTCCCCTTGGCCCTGACCCCCGAGAGACCCCAATGTGTGTTGTTCCCCTCCCTGTGTCCATGTGTTCTCACTGTTCAACTCCCACTAATGAGTGAGAACATGCAGTGTTTGGTTTTCTGTTCCTGTGTTAGTTTGCTGAGGATGATGGCTTCCAGCTTCATCCATCTTCCAGCAAATGATATGATCTCATTCTTTTTTATGGCTGCACAGTATTCCATGGTGTAGATGTACAACATTTTCTTTATACAGTCTATCATTGATGGACACTTGGGTTGGTTCCATATGCTTGCTATTGTAAATAGTGCTGCAACAAACATATGTGTGCATGTGTCTTTATAGTAGAATGATTTATATTCCTTTGGGTAAACACTCAGTAATGGGATTGCTGGGTCAAATGGTATTTCTGGTTCTAGATCCTTAAGGAATCACCACATTGTCTTCCACGATGGTCAAACTAATTTACACTCCCATCAACAGTGCAAAAGCATTCCTATTTCTCCACAGCCTCGCCAACATCTATTGTTTCTTGGTTTTTTAATAATCGGCATTCTGACTGGCATGAGATGGTATCTCACTGTGGTTTTGATTTGCATTTCTGTAATGATCAGTGATGTTGAGCTTTTCTGCATATGTTTGTTGGCTACATAAATGTCTTCTTTTGAGAAGCGTCTGTTCATATCCTTTGCCCACTTTTCTGGTTCCACGTGAAATTTAAGGTAGTTTTGTTCTAATTCTGTGAAAAATGTAAGTGGTAGTTTGATGGAAATAGCATTGAATCTATAAATTACTTTGGGCAGTATGGCCATTTTCATGATATTGATACCTCCTATCTATGAGGATGGAATATTTTTCCATTTGTTTGAGTCCTCTCTTGTTTCCTTGAGCAGTGGTTTGTAGTTCTCCTTGAAGAGGTCCTTCACATCCCTTGTAAGCTGTATTTCTACATATTTTATTCTCTTTGTAGCAATTGTAAATGGGAGTTCATTCATGATTTGGTTCTTTGCTCATCTATTGTTGCTGTACAGGAATGCTTGTGATTTTCGCACATTGATTTTGTATCCTGAGACTTTTCTGAAGTTGCTTATCAGCTTAAGGAGTTTTAGGGCTGAGACAATGGGGTTTTCTAAATATAGAATCATGCCATCTGCAAACAGAGACAATTTGATTTCCTCTCTTCCTATTTGAGTACCCTTTATTTCTTTCCCTTGCCTGATTGCCCTGCCCAGAACTTCCAATACTGTGTTGAATAGGACTGGTGAGAGAGGGCATCCTTGTCTTGTGATGGTTTTCAAAGATAATGCTTCCAGCTTTTGCCTATTCAGTATGATATTGGCTATGGGTTTGTCATAAATATCTCTTCTTATTTTGAGATATGTTCCATCAATACCTAGTTTGTTAAAAGTTTTTAACGTGAAGTGATGTTGAATTTTATCGAAGATCATTTCTCCATCTATTGAGATAGTCATGTGGTTTTTGTCATTAGTTCTGTTTATGTGATTATGTTTATTGATTTGCGTATGTTGAATCAGCCTTGCATCCCAGGGATGAAGTGGACTTGATCATGGTGGATAAGCTTTTTGATGTGCTACTGGATTTGGTTTGCCAGTGTTTTATTGAGGATTTTCGCATGGATGTTCATCAGGAATATTGGCCTGAAGTTTTCTTTTATTGTTGTGTCTCTGCCAGGTTTTGGTATCAGGATAATGCTGGCCTCATAAAATGAGTTAGGGAGGAGTCCCTCGTTTTCAATTTTTTGGAATAGTTTCAGAAGGAATGGTACCAGCTCCTCTTTGTACCTCTGGTAGAATTCAGCTGTGAATCTGTCTGGTCCTGGGCTTTATTTGGTTGGTAGGCTATTAATTACTGCCTCAATTTCAGAACTTGTTATCAGTCTATTCAGGGATTTGACTTCTTCCTGGTTTAGTCTTGGGAGGATGTATGTGTCCAGGAATTTATCCATTTCTTCTAGATTTTCTAGTTTATTTGCATAGAGGTGTTCATAGAATTCTCTGATGGTAGTTTGTAATTCTGTGGTGTCAGTGGTGATATCCCCTTTATCATTTTTATTATGTCTATTTGATTCTTCTCTCTTTTCTTCTAGATAGGTAGCAGTCTATCTATTTTGTTATTTTTTTCAAAAAACGAGCTCCTGGATTCATTGATTTTTCGAAGGGTTTTTCATGTCTCTATCTCCTTCAGTGCTGCTCTGATCTTAGTTATTTCTTGTCTCCTGCTAGCTTTTGGATTTGTTTGCTCTTGCTTATCTAGTTATTTTAATTGTGATGTTAGGGTGTCGATTTGAGAACTTTCCAGCTTCCTGATGTGGGCATTTAGTACTATAAATTTCCCTCTTAACACTGCTTTAGCTGAGTCCCAGAGATTCTGGTACATTGTCTCTTTGTTCTCATTGGTTTCAAAGACCTTCTTGATGTCTGCCTTAATTTCATTATTTACCCAAGAGTCAATCAGGAGCAGGTTATTCAATTTCCATGTAGTTTGTGATTTTGAGAGAGTTTCTTAATCCTGAGTCCTAATTTAATTGCACTGTGGTCTGAGAGACTGTTTGTTATGATTTCTCTTATTTTGCATTTGCTGAGGAGTATTTTACTTCCAATTACGCAGTCAATTTTAGAATAAGTGCCATGTGGCACTGAGATGAGTGTATATTCTGTTGATTTGGGATGGAGAGTTCTGAAGATGTCTATTAGGTCCACTTGGTCCAGAGAGGAGCTCAGATCCTGAATGTCCTTGTTAATTTTGTGTCTCATTGATTTGTCTAATATTGACAGCAGGATGTTAAAGTCTCCCAATATTATTGTGTTGGAGTCTAAGTCTCTTTGTAGGTCTCTAAGAACTTATTTTATGAATCTGGGTGCTCCTGTATTGGGTGCATATATATTTAAGATAGTTAGCTCTTCTTGTTGCACTGATCCCTTTATCATTATGTAATACTCTTCTTTATCTTTTTTTTAATCTTTGTCAGTTTAAAGTCTATTTCATCAAAGACTAGGATTGCAAATCCTGCTTTTTTGTTTGTTTTGTTTGTTTGTTTTTTGCTTTCCATTTGCTTGGGAAATTTTCCTCCATCCCTTTATTTTGAGCCTTGTGTGTCTTTGCACATGTGATGGGTCTCCTAAATACAGCATACTGACGGGTCTTGACTCTATCCAATTTGCTGGTCTGTGTCTTTTAATTGGGACACTTAGCCCATTTACATTTAAGGTTAATATTCTTATGTGTGAATTTGATCCTGTCATCATGATGCTAGCTGGTTATTTTGCACACTAGTTGATGCAGTTTCTTTATAGTGTCATTGGTGTTTATACTTTGGTGGGTTTTTGCAGTGGCTGGTGCCAGTTTTTCCTTTCCATATTTAGTGCTTCCTTCAGGAGCTCTTGCAAGGCAAGCCTGGTGGTGATGAAATCCCTTAGTATCTGCTTGTCTGGAAAGGTCTTTATTTCTCCTTTGTGTATGAAGCTTCGTTTGGCTGGATATGAAATTCTGGGTTGAAAATTCTTTTCTTTAAGAATGTTGAATATTGGCCCCCACTCTTTTGGCTTGTAGGGTTTCTGCTGAGAGATCTCCTGTTACCTACAAATGGGTTTCCCCTTGTAGGTAATCTGACCTTTCTCTCTGGCTTCTCTTAACATTTTTTCCTTCATTTCGACCTTGGAGAATCTGATGATTATGTGTCTTGGGGTTGATCTTCTCATGGAGTGTCTTAGTGGTGTTCTCTGTATTACCTAAATTTGAGTGTTGGTCTGTCTTGCTAGGTTGGGGAAGTTCTCCAGGATAACATCCTGAAGTGTGTTTTTCAACTTGGTCCATTCCCCCCGTCTCTTTCAGGTACTCCAGTCAATCATAGGTTTGGTCTTTTTACATAGTCCCATATTTCTTGGAGGTTTTCTTTGTTCCTTTTCATTCTTTTTTCTCTAATCTTGTTTTCATGCCTTATTTCAACAAGATGGTCTTTAAACTCTGATATCCTTTCTTCCACTTGATTGATTTGGTTGTTGATACTTGTGTATGCTTCACGAAGTTCTTGTGTTGTTTTTCAACTCCATCAGGTAATTTATGCTCCTCTCTAAACTGGTTATTCTAGTTTGCAGTTCCTGTCACCTTTTATCAAGGTTCTTAGCTTCCTTGCATTGGGTTAGAACATGTTCCTTTAGCTCAGCGGAGTTTGTTATTACCCACCTTCTGAAGTCTACTTCTGTGAATTCGTCCATCTCATTCTCCATCCTGTTTTGCACCCTTGCTGGAGAGGTGTTGCAATCATTTGGAGAAGACTTTTGGAATTTTTCGCATTTTTGCACTGATTTTGGAATTTTTAGTGTTTTTGCACTGCTTTTTCCTCATCTTCGTGGATTTTCCTACCTTTGATCTTTGAGGCTGATGACCTTCACATTGGGTTTTATGGGAGGCCTTTTTTCTTGATGATGTTGTTGTTGTTGTTGCTTTCTGTTTGTTGATTTTTCTTCTAATAGTCAGGCCCCTCTTCTGGAGGTCTGCTGCAGTTTGCTGGAGGTCCACTCCAGGCCCTGTTCACCTTGGTATCACCAGTGGAGGCTGCAGATCAACAGAGATTGCTGCCTGCTCCTCTCTCAGGAAGCTTTGCCCCAGAGGGGCACTGGCCTGATAACCAACCGGAGCTCCCCTGTGTGAGTGTCTGTCAACCCCTGTTGGGAGGTCTCTCCCAGTCAGGAGGCATGGGGATCAGGTACCTGCCTGAGGAGGCAGTCTGTCCCTTAGCAGAGCTGGTGAGCTGTGCTGGGAGAATCCACCTTGTCAGGATCAGCTGCTCTCTTCAGAGCTGGCAGAAAAGATGAAGTCTGCTGAACCTTGGACCACAGCTGCCCCTCCCCTCAGGTGCTCTGACCCAGGGAGATGAGAGTTTTGTCTATAAGCCCCTGACTGGAGTTGCTATTTCATTTCCTGCACAGATGTCCTGCCCAGGGAGGAGGAATCAAGAGAAGCAGTCTGGCCACAGCCAATTTGCTGCACTGTGTTGAATTCCACCCAGTCCAAACCTCTCAGTCTCCTTAGCACTGTCAGAGGAAAACTGCCTACTTAAGCCACAGTAATGGTGGTGGTCACCCCTCCCCGCACCAAACTCAATCGTCCCAGTCCAACTCCAGACTGCTGTCCTGGCAGTGAGAATTTCAAGCCAGTGGTTCTTAGCTTGCTGGGATCTGTGGGAATGAGACCCACTGAGCAAGACCTCTTGGCTCCCTGGCTTCAGCCCCCTTTCCAGAGAGTGTAAGGTTCTCCTGTCTTACTGGAGTTACAGGCACTGCTGGAGTTTGAAAAAACTCCTGCAGCTCAGTGCCTGACCAAATAGCCGCCCAATTTTGTGCTTGAAACCCAGAGCCCTGGTGGTATAGGCTCAGATTGCAAAAATCCACGGGAAAAGCACAGTACGCTGGGTGGGTAGCACAGTCCCTCACCGCTTCCCCTGGCTGGGGTACTTCCCAGATGAAGCAGCTCCACGTACTTCCCAGATGAAGCAACACCCTACCCTGCTTCTGCTCACTCTCCATGGGTTGCATCCACTGCCTAACCAATCCCAGTGAGATGAACTGGGTACCTCAGTTGGAAATGCAGAGATCACCCACCTTCTGCATTTGTCTTGCTGGGAGCTGCAGACTGGAGCTGTTTCTATTTGGCCATTAGCCCCTCTGCAAATCAATTTTCAAAGCATGCAGTGTTGCATAATGACAGTTTAAAATGATTCTTTTTGTTCATAAAACTTTCGATAGTAATAAAGTTACTATTACTTTAATAGTAATAAAGTTATTAAATAAAGTAATAGCAAGAAAACTATTACTGTTAGTTGTCAGACTGCTGTGGTAGGACAAGTCAGGGTATTCAGTATCTATTCACAAAGTTGACAGTGATTAAGTTCACTAGAGTGACATTCACCATTGATAGTATAAATTCAGTAAGACACGATAAATCAAAATATTTTCTGCAAAATACCTGCCAATTAATAATACAATGAACAAATATAGCTTTAAATATCTCACATTTTCAGAAGCTTTGTAAATTTGTCTAATTAAATCTATTTCTTCTTCATGTATTATTTTTGCTGCCTTCATTTATATAATAACACATCTTAGCAGATTCCACTTCAGCTTGTACTGAGTTAGTATTTTCTTAAATTATTTGAAAAATTATTTTCCTTTAAATGTTTCACGCAAACTATTTCTTCGGTCTCCTAAAACTTGGTATTGACTTTTCAGATAAATAGCTGAATAGTATGGTAACATCTGTCAACTTGCTAATAACCAAAGAAATGTGTTCAATATTGTTCGTCTTGTTTTTTAATTAAATAGCAATATTGTTCCAAATGTCTTCAACTCTTTTAGGCAGCTGTTCTCACCAAATGAGAGAAACTTTTGACTAGTTTATGACTCTAAACTATAAACTTACTAATAGTGATAAGCAAATTTATTTTCCCCAAACACAATTTAATTAACTTACCATCAGTAAGTGACTTTTCTTGCTAAGTTTACAAATGACTCATAAAAATTTTATTTTACTTGCAACTTCATTTTGTTTTCATTGTTGTGAAAATTTCTGTTCAGATGAGATTTTTTTTTTAGTTTTTTTAAAATTCTTCTTGACCATTGCTTTCCTGTGCATTGGGAATATCATGATGAGCATTTGTTCTGGTAGTGCTATTATTCATTATAGTCTTTTAGTACATCTGTATTGTCATTGAATAATAAACACAATGTTTGGCCTCTAATTCAATAATAAAATCATTCACACTCCACTGTGCTTCAAAACTGTGGAATTCTGTGTTAGTTTCCTATGGCTGCTATAATGAATTACCACAAACTTAGTGGATTAAAACAACACAAATATATTTTTTCCTACAGTTCTTGAGTCAGAAGTCAGAAATGAGTCTCAGGGGCTAAAATCAAGATGTCAGCAGGGTTAGTTTCTTTTGGAGTCTCCAGGGTAAATCTGTTCTTTATGTCTTCCCACTCCTAGAGGCTGCTCGATTACCTTGGCCTGTGTCTGGCATCACTACCCTCTCTGCTTTCATCATCATATTGCCTTCTCTTTCTGTCTGACTTTCCTATGTCCCTCTTATAACAACCCTTGTAATTATATCAGATATACCCAGATAACTCAGAATATCCTCCCCATCTCAAAATCCTGAATTTGATCATAGCTGCAATGTCCCTTTTATATAAAGTATATATATAAAGTAATATACAGGTTCCATAAATTAGGACATGGACACCTTTCAGATATCCAGCTTACCACACACTTGAAGTTCACTTTTCTTTTCTTGTTTTAACATAATAGGTATGTGCTGATAATGAAACGTAAATATAGATGACATTGAATAATATGCATTTTGAAATGCTGTCAAGTTATAGATACAACATGGCAACTTGTAGTACAGGGAGCATGATGAGAAGAGAGCCTTTCTTGCAACTAGCTAGCTCGGGACTTGTAGCATGAAAGCAGCTACAGATAATATGTAAATGAATAAATATGATTGTGTCTCACGTTGAAATTTAAATTTCACATAATTTTTACATCATGAAATATTAATCTTCTTTTGATTCTTTTAAATCATTGATAAAGTATAAAAACCATTCCAATCAGGCAGGCTGTAAAAAAATAGATGACAGGCTGTTTTGGCCATAGACTCCTGCCTCCTAGCATTAAACCAACAGACAACACAACAACCAGACAATCCACAGACGTATTTAGACCACCAAGTGGTTAAAAATAATAATTTGATACTTATAAATCAGAAAAGACACATGAAAACCTGTCTTTCTGTCTCCTTTTGTAAAATCTGAATATCTGGCAAACCTAGGCCCACATGACAGTACTCCCACAATGCAAAAAATTTACCACTTTTGTTTGAACATAAACTTTCCATCTGACCTACTTCGATCTTATATGACTTTGAGTTTGTGACACAAATTTCTTATCTTCCTAAGTTTTTTTGTTGAATTCTTCAAAGAATTTCCTTCTGGGCCATAATTTCTCAATCCTCTGTCAATGCAACCCCTTTTCTTTGTGCTGGTTTCATTCTCTAGATAAAGAATTAAGTAGGGTCTGTGCTAAGTCAATAAAGAATTGCATTTTGTATTGGGTGCTGTATTAGTCCATTTTCACACTGCTATAAAGAACTGCTATAAAGATCTGGGTTTAATTGACTCACAGTTCTGTACGGATGAGGAGGCCTTAGGAAACTAACAATCATGGTGAAACGCAAAGGGGAGAAAACTTATACAATCATGGTGAAAGGCAAAGGGGAAGCAAGGCACCTTCTTCACAAGACAGCAAGGAGGAGAACGAATGCAGGAGGAACTACCAAACACTTATAAAACAATCAGATCTCATGAGAACTCACTCACTGTCACAAGAACAGCATAGGGGAAATGCCCCCATGATTTAATTACTGCCACCTGGTCTTTCCCTTGACACGTGGGGATTACTGGGATTACGGGGATTACAATTCAAGATGTGATTTTTGGTGGGGACACCGTCAAACCATATCAGGTGCCTTTTCATTTGGAACCCAATGTAAAATGCAATTCTTTATTTACTCAGCACAGACCCTAAAGAAGTGGTTGTTAACTCTAGCTGTATATTAAAATTGCTTGGGAACACTTTGGGGAGCAGCTGCAGCACTTGAGTCTTCTAAACTAGTTAGGGGATTTGGTCCTAGAGTCAATATTTAATGTACCCCAGGTGATTTTTAATGTAAAACCAGTTTTGAGAACCACTGAATTAGAGCAATAACACTACATCATCATCTCTTATTCTGGGCTTCGTATATTCAAACCAGTTTTGAATGTTTAAACTGAAAAGCAAATATCCAATAAACTTTTATGCTTCTAGAATAGCTAAAAATTATGAAACATTTCAATTAAATTTTTGTCATTTTATTTATTTTTATTCAACAAGAACATGTTAAGTATCTACTATTTTCCATGCACCAGGCTTGAATAGATAGTTGCCCTGAGAATGGTTTAGTTAATTCTCATTTCAATTTGCTAACCTGTACTGAATTTATACTGCCTTAGTTGCAGCCTTCTATTGGACATTTACCTGTGTGGCAGACTTTGTGCCAAGCATGCTTCATGAATTTCTCAGTTTGTTCTTATACATAGCAACATACGTGTGTGTGTGTGTGTGTGTGTGTGTGTGTGTATGTGTGTCTGTGTGTGTGTTCTTATTCTCTTATCCTCTCCAGAATACAAATGATGATCCTGGGGCTTGATGGGGTTAACAACTTCTCCCTGGTTTCACAGCTAATAATTTGTAAAAGCTGGAATTTGAACCAAGATTCCAGAGCCAAACTCTCTACCACTCTGCTAACCTGCTTTATCATGTATTAAAATCTAAATCATACTAAATCTAATGTGACATTTTTAATTATATAACATATCTTAGGGTCAAACAGTGCCTTAGGCTCACTTCTGAACCACAATAATTATTCATTGAGAAACCATACATTCTGGTTGGTCTGGGACACAACTGGTTTATGCCTATTGGGATACAACTGGTTTATGCACAACATATCAATAGACATGCTTTCACCCTCTAAAGTGTCCTGGTTTAGACAATAAATTATACAGCCATCTACTTCTACAAGAGGATAGTCAAGTACAGTGCCAGCAGACTGCGGGCACTCAAACTTTGTTTTGTTGTTTAACAAGTAAAGGAATGATGGTGAAGGTAAGAATTTATGCTCTGCCTATGGCTAGGTAAGCTGTTTATGTTTAAGAAAAGTTGCCCACAGTAGTGTATTTCTTTATCATGAGCTCTTCTCAAAACCTCAGTGTAAAAAACACCTAAATATTTGAATATTCAGAATAGTAACGTTTTACAATTAATGGGGAAAAGTTGCTTTAGTTATGACTGCCTCTTTTCATCAGTGAAATAAAAGTTATTCACTAGTATTAAATTTTAAACATGGCTAATTTTATAAGCTTTTTGCCCCCGACTATACTTACGCTGTTCTTAGAATTTCCCATGTGAGACAACGGATTTAAATACGCGACTTGTTCCTGTACAGTGGTCAAAGAGACAACTCAGTAGAGATGGAAGTGTTTTCATTCACCTGTGGCCTTCTGTCCTGGACGATGTTCAACACTTTCATTATAGTGTGAGAAGTGATATGATTTGGGTCTGTGTCCCCACCCAAATCTCATTTTAAATCATAATCCTCCATGTTGGGGGTGGGGCCTGGTAGGAGATGATTGGATCCTCTGGGCAGATTTCCCCCTTGGTGCTGTTCTTGTGATAGTGAGTTCTCATGAGATCTGGTCACTTAAAAGTGTGTGGTACCTTCCCCCTTCTCTCTTCATTTTGCTCTGGCCATGTGAAATGCTGGCTCTCTCTTCGCCTTCCACCATGATTGTAAGTTTCCTGAGGCCTCCCCAGAAGCCAAGCAGATCCAGCAGCATACTTCCTGTACAACCTGAAGACCAATGAGCCTATTAAAGCTGTTTTCTCTATAACTTACCCAGTCTCGGGTATTTCTTTAAGGCAGTGCAAGAATAGACTAGTACAGTAGAGATGGAAGTTTTTCATTCACCTGTAGCCTTCTGCCCTGGACCATGTTGAACACTTCCACTGTAGCGTGAGATGTGGCCAGGTCTCAGGATGTAAGCTTACCACCACTAAACAACAGCAAACTAAAGAGGTTTGCTGTTGATTGTTCCAATCATTCCTCATAACTCATCTTACAAGTTATTAGACCATTTATAAAAGGATCATGCAAAAGCACAATCAGGGTATTTTTTAAAATTATATAGGCTAGATTGAAGGTGAACTTGTGGCTGTATTTATTCATGTTACAGGTGTTACAATAAAATGATGCACTTTTCCACAGTTTTAACAGTGTCAATGATGCAAATATTTTTCCCCACATCACACTTCCTTCTCCAAAATTATCTACATTCTTATTTGACTTACATTTTCTACCCTGTGACTACAGTTACATATATATTAAAAAGTAATAAAAATTGTTCCCAATTGAAAAAATAATACAGAAAGATACGTTTCTCTCGTCGCTTCTGATTAGCTCTAATCTGGTTCTCCAGAAGGAAAGGACATGACATTGAACATTGAATCTCTCTATTCAAAAAGCTGATCCTTAATAGTGCTGAGGAAAAAAAGTGATTCTTTTGATCTTGTATTTTAATCTTAAATTTTAATTTGCACCATAAAATTTTAATGACTGTCCTCTAGCTTTCAAAGTGACTAGAATTAAGTATTTTGCACATGCTGCATATTACATATGTAACATCAAATCCTTTTGTATCTGCAAAAGCTTTGAAGACTGCTTATTAAATTAGCAATAACCACCAGTCAAGGGCTGTCAACCTTTTTGTACATTCATGAGACTTGGTCACGCATCAAAAATGGACGTTGAACTTCTTTTGTTCACAAGCAGCGTATAATGATATGACCATGGTTAATAAACTCCATGTTTCACATGGAAATGTAAATCACCACATCTCTTGCTTTTCCAGGCTCTGTGAATTACAAATAAATAAAGATGCTGATCAATTGCTTATATTTTCCAGAAGGTTGTTAACCAAGTTCTAACACCACAAAAATAGGGCTAGTTCTGAGCAACATGGCCCTATCCCTATTATCCTAAACTAAAGCAAAACTAATATTTGCTTTTTCATTTTATGTGAAGACTAGGATTTAAAATTAAAGAATACATCTTTAAGAAATTAGACCCCCCATATCCCTTGAGTGCATGTGAGAGAAGATGAGTCTGAGTATGTTTATTTACAACTCAATTTGGAAGCAAACACTAAAAGATATTAATGTTCAAAACAATTGGCAAACTTTTTTTTCAAAAAAGTCTGCTGTTGTTTATTGGTTCACAAGGAAAATACACGGAGCACTTTCTATATGTTATGCACTGCACTAGGAGCTGAGGACACATAAAATGTTACAAAGCAAGGAGTTTTACCCAGTAATCCATGGTTTACTAGAGAACAGAGACATGGAATCAAATAGCCACATGAAAGTATGATGTGTGAAAGCATGGAGGAAAGGCAATAGGCTAGAAGAAATGTGCAGGGGCTCTTCCTCAAGGAGGTAGGATGCTCCCATGAGGACCTGAAACATAAGGAGGAGCTCACCAGGCAGATGGTGGGGCCAAGGCATTCCAAGCAGACCTCCAGCAAATAAAAAAACTTACAGAGCATGGAATGTAAGGATCATTAAGGGATTTGAGTTATTCAGTACTGATAGAGGACAAGTGGTAGAAACAGAAGATGATGCTGGAGATGAATTCAAGATTCTACTGTGTGTGTGTGTGTGTGTGTGTGTGTGTATGTGTGTGTGTGTGTACATGCACACACACATGAATATGGATAAGTTAGATATTAGTTCCTGAGAATTAAAATGGCTACCTTAACTATTTTGTGTATACTGAAAACATAATCATGGAAGGAAAAAGGGAATACAAAATTGCTGTTATATCCTCTTCCCACACTCAATGCCTCGACACTCTTTCTTCCCAAGACAAATAGAAGCAAACATGTTCTTGACCCAAATAAGGCATTCAACAATCAAAATCCACTAGTGATCTGGCAAAATACAAATTATAATAGACTGAACTCTTTACTATCATGATGATTAAGATTAATTATTGATTCAAGAAATTGCCTGAAATACTTTGTTTATTGGGTTATAATTTATACATAGTAAAATTGGATCTTTTTAGTGTAAAGTTCTATGAGTTAGAAAAACACATATAGTTGTATAACTTCCAACACAATCAAACTATAGTACAGTCCCACCTCTCCCCTCAATTTTTTGTGTCCCTTTATAATCACTCCCTTCCCTACCTTTCCCTAGCCTCTAGCCAATGACAACAACTGGTTCGTTTTCTGTCTTCTAGGCTTGCATTTCCAGAATGTAATATAAATGCAATCACAGTATGTCATCTTTTGAGTCTGTTTCCTTACATTTAGCTTAATGCATGTGAGATTTATCGATATTGTGCATGTATCAATACCTCATTGATTTTCATTGCTGAGTAGTATTCTATTGCATTGATGCATCACACAATTTATCAATTCACCAGTTTAAAGGCATGGCGTTATTACTAGATTTAGTTAATCATTAATAAAGCCAATATAAACATTACACAAAAGTTTGAAGGTGAACATAAGTTTTCATTTCTCTTATATAAGAATTTTGGAGGGAGATTTCTGGGCCATACAGTATGTTTTTAACTGTATAAGTAACTGACAAACTATTTTCCAAAGTGGCTATACCATTTTTCATTCTACCAGCAATATGTGAGAATTCCAGTTCTTCTGCATCCTCACCATTACTGGGTTTTATCAAATTTGATTAAGCAGTTTTAGCAACCACTTATCATGTTGTAGTCTTAATTTGTATTTCCCTAATGACTAATGATGTTGAACATCTTTTTAGATCCTGTTTTCTATCTATGTGTCTTTTTTGGTGAAGTGTCTGTTAAAAACTTCTGCCCATATATTTAAATGGGCTGTTTTCTATTATTGCACTTTGGAAGTCCTTTACATACTTCTAATACAAATCCATTATCAGATTTGTGTTTTGCAATGATTT
This sequence comes from Homo sapiens, assembly GCF_000001405.40. Lineage (NCBI taxonomy): Eukaryota > Metazoa > Chordata > Mammalia > Primates > Hominidae > Homo > Homo sapiens. The sequence goes on along the minus strand of NC_000005.10, from coordinate 163,924,596 downwards.
ATCTCAGCCCAAAGATTTTTGTTTTCTTAGTGTCTTTCACAGAGAGTTTTTAATCTTGATGAAGTCCAATTTATCATTTTTCTTTTATTAATTATTGTTTTGATGTCATACCTAAGAAATATTTGCCTAAGCCAAGATCACAAAGATTTTCTTCTATTTTTCTTTATAAAAGTTTTATGGTTTTAGGTTTTAAGTTTATGTCTAGGAACGATTTTGAGTTATTTGCATGTAAGATGCAAGGTGTGAGTCAGGCTTTTTTTTTTCTCTTAGCACATAGATATCCTATTATTCTAGCACCATATTTTGAAAAGATACTTATTTCTCCATTGATCTTTAGCACCTTTGTCTAAAATTAATTGGCTATATAGATAGGACTGTTTTGGTACTCCTTGATATACTTTTTTAAAAAATGAGACAAAGAAAATGATAGAACTCACTAGTACTTAAAATCTATGAAGCAAGCTACCTAAAATGTACATGGAGAACAAGAAGCCCAAATAGATACTGGAGGAGACACACAGAAAGACATTTGACAGAACACTGAGGTCTCTGAAATTATCAGATGCCCGAGATGATAACACAGAGCCATTTTTCTTTGCGAAGCTGGTATTTCCAAGCATCTGGGCCACTCCTCTTTATTAGAAATATCAGGTTAGATTCTTTTTCTATGGCTTCCCTGACTTAAATTGAAGCTGACACATTACCCAGAAAATCAGTGGACAGTAGGATTTGACCCATTGTGGCCAGATCTATTAGCAGCCGGCATGCACCTGAGTACCACAGGATGAATAAGGAATAAAGACGTGCACATCTCCATGCACAGATCTTGCAAGATGTTTTTTTTCCTCTCTCCTAACTCATTTTACACACACCTGTAGCACAGCCTCTCAAAGGGTGCTCAACTGAAAGGAAATTTTCAGATTTAAAGCCTCTGTTCTTAAGCAACCGTTTTTGATAGTTTAACTGCCCATATCCAAATCCCCAGCAAACTTCTAACTGCATGCCATATTATTTTGTGTGGTCAAGGACATAATTCATATAAAAGTCATCTCTCTCTTTCACAGGCTGTAATTCTCCTTTAATTAGATTGTAATTAAAACCAAATAAGGAAACATGCAGATGAATAACTTCACAAGTTTTTCTTTCTCCTGGAAAATAGTTATTTTTTCTTTATTAATCAAGCCTAAAATAGATTCAGAAAATGATTTTGTGCATTTTGATAGTAAACCGCTACCATGTGTATGTATGTGTGTCTTTTCCCCTAAAAGACTCTCGCACAGAAAGCATTTTAATTTTCCATGGGATTGCTATTTTGACCTCTGAGACCTTGCAAAGTAAAGTATTTATGATCTTGGGCTTTTTTATGGTATTGTTTCAATATTTTTGTAACATTTGTATTTCTTGCTGATGTTTTTGGCATTAAAAATCACTCAAGCTGTGCTGAAATATAATGGTATTCACTGAACCATACCATGGAAGGATAATTCAGCTCAGTTAGGTTATTCTAGCTCATCATGTACACCAAGGATTGAAAGAAATTGTAGAAGACTCTCAGTTCTCTTCATAGGCAGCATTGAGTCTTTTTTTTCCCCTCTCTAATAACTTGACATAGGAAAACCTTCACTTGAATACAGAAATACCTGGTTTCCAGTCTTTGGAGCAAACCAAAATAACAACACAATGGCCCAAGGTAAGAGGAAGCAAAGTACTGGTGAACAGTTACTCTAGATCACAAATTTCCTTTACCTGTGACCAGACAAAAATTATACCTCAACAAATAATGAGCTTTCATTATCAATTTCAACACATCCCTATGCAAGTGATATAGTGCTAAACTTCATTAGACTAGGGAAATATGCTATTACAGATACAAACCAGAGATGATTTAGTTCCAGATATTTAAGTTGTCCCTGACTATGGATATCATAATACCTGAGTGTGATTGCTATGCTTGGCCATTTTCTCTTTTTTTTTGGAAATGTATGTATCAAGACTAGATCAATGCAGAGCCTTTCCATTTCTTGTAATACTCAGCCTGAGATGTAAATTATAATAGCATTCAATATTATTTAAGCTTTTGTATATTTTGTCTTTTGGTTCACTGACCATTCATGTTTGGCCTTGATTATACCACATAAACACCTAAGGGATGAAGTACAAAAGCAGACTGGCCAAATAACTAATATTTACATGTTTAATGCATTTGTGTGTATATATATCCAGTACACATATATGTTTTCAATTATACAGACCAAATATGTTTTGAACTGTAAATGATTGAGACCTTAAATTTAGTGTACCCATCTGATAAAAGTCATAAGCACCTACTAAAAATGAAAAACGGATCTTTCAACTTTACTCCCTATAGATAAGTAAAAGTAAATATTATTGCGATATTTAAATGTGTAGAACTCTTAAAAATGCATGAGCTCTGGAATCAGACAAACCTATATTAAAAGGAGCCACTTCTGCCTAGCTGCTGGGTGACTTTGGACATGTTTCTTAGTCTCTATAAAGCTCAATTTTATCATCTGCAAAATGGGTATAGTAATCATTCCGATTCCAGTTGAGCTGCTATAGCATAGACTATAAAATAACATTGACTAAAACAAAATAGAAGTTTATTTCTCAAATAACACTTTGAGTACAATACTCTAATATAACAGCTCTATGGTACCAGAGTGTTGCTCTGCCATTTTCAATATATAATTTCTATATTTTAGTCAAAAACTGCTGTCATTATTATGTACATATACCAACTAGTGGGAAAATGAATAATGGAAGAGAAGATAAGGTACATTATAAAAATGATCACCATTCATCATTCTTCCTTGTATCTATGGCCCTTCACAGTGTGACTTTACAGCAACTCCCATAAATACTTTACTTTCCCAGCCCTTGCCATATGATTACTTCAGTTAAGAGAATGCAGCACAAGTGAGGAGCTCTGAATCTAGGCCTCCAGAGCCTTTGTACCCCTTCCCTTGCCCTCTTGGTATCTTGACAGCCACTGTGTAAGCAAGACCAGGTTAGTTCTCTCAATTAAGTAACAAACCTTCATTGTCCCAGCCAATGGTCACTTCCCAGCCAATCTTACAGCTGATCACAGATGCATACGTGTATTAGTCTGTTCTCACACTGCTAATAAAGACATACCTGAAACTGGGTAATTTATAAAGGAAATAGGTTTAAGTGACTCAGAGTTCAGCATGGCTGGGGCGGCCTCAGGAAACTTACAATCATGAAAAAGGGGAAGCAAACATGTTCTTCTTCACATGGAGGCAGCAAGGAGAAGTGCAGAGTGAAGAGTGGGGAAAGCCCCTTATAAAACCATCAGATCTTGTGAGAACTCACTCAGTATCATGAGAATAGCAAGGAGGTAACCAACCCCATGATTCAATTACCAACCATGGGCTCCCTCCCATGACATGTGGGGATTTGGGGAACTATCATTCAAGATGAGATTTGGGTGAAGACACAGCCAAACCATATCATTCTGCCTCTGGCCCCTCCCAGGTCTCATGTCCTCACATTTCAAAACATAGTCATGTCTTCCCAACAGTCCCCCAAAGTCTTAACTCATTCCAGCATTAATTCAAAAGTCCAAGTCCAAAGTCTCATCTGAGACAAGGCAAGTTCCTTTCACCTGTGAGCCTGTAAAATCAAAAGCAAGTTAGTTACTTCCTAGATACAAAGTGGGTACAGATATTGGGTAAATACACCCATTCCAAATGGGAGAAATTGGCCAAAATTAAAGGGCTATAGTCCCCATGTAAGTCTGAAATCCACTGGGGCAGTCAAATCTTAAAGCTCCAAAATGATCTCCTGTGGCTCCATGTCTCATATCTACGCTAATACATAAGGCAGGTTTCCACAGGCATGGCCAGCTCCACCCCTGTGGCTTTGTAGGGTACAGCTCCTCTCCTGGCTGCTTTCAAGGGTTGGCACTGAGTGTCTGCGGCTTTTCCAGGAAGATGGTGTAAGCTGTCAGTGGATCTGCCATTTGGGGTCTGGAGGACAGTGACTGTCTTTTCACAGTCCCACTAGGCAGTGTACCAGTGGGGATTCTGTGTGGGGGTTCTGACCCCACATTTCCCTTCCATACTGCCCTAGCAGAGCTTCTCCATGAGGGCTCTGCCCCTGCAGCAAACTTCTGCCTGGACATCCAGGCATTTCTATACTTCCTCTGAAATCTAGGCAGAGGTTCCCAAACCTCAATGCCTGACTTCTGTGCACCCACAGGCTTAACACCAAGTGGGAGCTGCCAAGGCTTGAGGCTTGCACCCCTTGAAGCCAAAGCCCAAGCTATACCTTGGTTCCTTCTAGCCATGTCTGGAGTGGCTGGGATGCAGGGCACAAAGGAGGGGGTCCTGGACCTGGCCCAGGTAACCATTTTTCCCTTATAGGCCTATGGGTCTTTGATGGGAGAGTCTGCCACAGAGGTCTCTAACATGCCCTGGAGACATTTTCCCCGTAGTCCTGGCAATTAGCTTTTGGCTCCTTGTTACTTATGCAAATTTCTGCTGCCATCTTGAATTTCTGCCCTGAAAAAGAGTTTTTCTTTTCTATTGCATCACCAGGCTGCAAATCTTCCAAACTTTTACGGTCTGCTTCCTCTTGAATGCTTAACCACTTAGAAATTTCTTCTGCCAGATACCCTAAATCATCTCTCTCAAGTTCAAAGTTCCACAGATCTCTAGGACAGGAGCGAAATGCTGCCAGTCTCTTTGCATAGCAAGAGTGATCTTTACTCCAGTTCCCAACAAGTCCCTCATCTTCATCTGAGACCACCTCAGCCTGGACTTTATTGTTTATATCACTATCAGCATTTGGTCAAAGCCATTCAACAAGTCTCTAGGAATTTCCAAACTTTCCCACATCTTGCTGTCTTCTGAGCCCTCCAAGTCTCTAGGAAGTTCCAAACTTTTCCACATTTTCCTATCTTCTTCTGAGCCTTCCAAACTGTTCCCACCTCTGCCTGTTACTCCGTTCCAAAGCCACTTCCACATTTCGGCATATCTTTACAGCAGCTCCCCACTACGTGGTACTAATTTACTGTATTAGTTTGTGCTTATGCTGCTAATAAAGATATACCTGAGACTCAGTAATTCATAAATGAAAGACGTTTAATTGTCTCGCAGTTCCACAGGGCTGGGGAGGCCTCCCCAGGAAACTTACAATCATGGCAGAAGGGGAAGCAAACACATCCTTCTTCACATGGTGGCAGCAAGGAGAAGTTCAGAGTGAAGAGGGGTAAAAGCCCCTTATGAAACCATCAGATCTCATGAGAACTTATTCACTATCACAAGAATAGTATGGGGGTAATCACCCCCATGATTTATTACCTCCTACTCGCACCCTCCCAGGACATGTGGGCATTACAGGAACTACAATTCAAGATGACATTTGAGTGCGGACACAGTCAAACCATATCAATACATTTAGCTATTGCCAAAACAATCCATCAGCTGATCCCAGCCCAAGTTGCCAACATGCATAATTATGACTGAAAAATAATTGTTGTTATAAACCACTACATTTTGGGGTGTTTTGTTAGGCTGAAAGTGATTAAAGGAGAAGGATCATTTTCCTTCTAAGGTTATAACCCAGAATCTGCACAGATCCCTTCTCTCGTGCCACTGGTGAGAATTTAGTTATATGTCTATATTAGCTGCAAGGAACGTGGGGAAAGGTAGTCTATTGCTGGTTGTTGACATGTCCAGCTATAACTAGACACATTTCTCTATTAAAAGAAAAAGAGAGGAATCTATATGTGGGGGCAACTGGTGGTCTCTGCCACTTCTACCTATTTTGATGGTTGTGAATATTAAATGTGAAATAAATGTAATGGTTTTGGCCCAATGACTGTAACCCAGAAAGGTCTCAGTAAATGTTTGCCATCGTTGATATTTAGAATTGGAAATTAATGACATTCGTTTAAAGGGTCACAAAGAATACTCAGAAGTATCAAGTTCTCCATACCTAGTTTTGGTTTGCCCTGATCTTCCAGCAGCCCCTCCCATCTCCCAAACTCAAGTCAGGAACCATATTAGAAGATCCACAGAGGGAACATCAACAGTGACATTGAAACACTGTGTCTACTGATCTGATTCAGACAAAGCCTGGATGTCTATTAGAAAAGATTAGATACATGGCATAAAGCCAGGGGACAGGACTCAAGCAAGTCCTTTCAATTCTATCCTCCATCACTGTATAATAAATAGAGAATGTCACTGAGAAACTGTCAAAAACCAGAGTTGGAAGGGTTTATCTTTCTTTCTCCTTATATTGCTACTAGGAGTTTTGTTAAATAAATATAAAAAGGTAGAGTGTAATAAACTATCTTGGCCTTGAGGAGAGAGGGAATAAAACAGGTGTCCATTTTCTGAAGCCAATTTTTGTCCCTTTCCAATTTTAAAGCAAAAGAAATGAAATACAAGAGCAGAATGAGAGATGGGCTGTGGGAAACTGATAGAAAGGAAACCTAAAGGAAGGCTTATGAAAACAACTTGATAGATGTAAATAACCCCCCCATAAAAGATGATCATCACTTACCTACCAGTTAGATGATCACCTGACAGTAACCATTGCATTAGTAAGCAGTCATTAAACAAGCATTAGTCATGCACACATTTGCCTGTATTTTGAAATTTGGTGTTTTGAGTTATATCCCCCAGACTACTGGATGGCCTCATACCTGGTAAACAGTTATTACTGTTATAATCTGTGTGAATCATCTCTCTCTCCTTCCAGAGTTGCTGTCAACTCAGAATTTGCTATTACAAGTCAAATCCTGAAACGACCTGAAAAAGTATATCTAAGGTACCCTGGATGGAAGAAAGATCAAATAATCAATAAGTAAAGTGACACATGCACAAAAGAATGAGACAGCAGTGAGATGCAGGGCAAGTGGGGGCCACCCTGTGAGTGGCAGTATTTACAGAATACGTCCACTTGAGACGCAAGAAAGGGTTCGAGGTCAACAACAACAAGAAAAACAGAAAGTCCTGAGAAAGAAGGTTTTGTCAGGAGCCATATTCGTGTATGGCCTCAAAGCTGAGAGTGAAGTGTGCAAAGATGAGCCAGAGAGTACAAACGACTTTCCAAAGGACTTCAGAAATGGGAGAAGCATCGTAGACCGGGACAATGGCACAGAGGAGGGAAGAAAGACAGATGGCCCCCAAACAGCACCTTTAAAAACACTTTTTAAATTCAAAGTGATTAAGAAATGAACACCCATATTACCCATAGTGGTTATCTTTAAAAATGGGACACTGTTAAGATAATCCTATCAAAGGATTAAGAAATAGCAATATAGAGATAGGAGGAATCCAATCAAAGATTAAAGTGTGATGTCCAAGAGATATGTCAGCATTTCCAGGGGGTATACAATGGTGTACTAGTTTCTTCTGAGGGTAATAGATACTACACAAAAACAAAAAATATGAAAAGGGGTAAGTTAAATGTTGTTGAACAGATTTCTTCACTGTCAAGAGTATTCAGAGGAAATGTGCATTGTGAAACTCCAAAAGGGAGGTGTGTGATACATGCATGTCTGTTCCTCCCTCATCACCCCTACTTTTCCTTTTGGGAGCAAAATGCTGCTTGCACTGGGATTTTTTTTATCAGAGCGTTCAGTTCATACCACCCTTTTCTAAACTAGTAGATATGGCTGCTCCCTCAGGGTAGTATGTAGATTAGTTTTATAGGGCCTTTCTATGGGAAAGAAAGGGTTTCAGCAGGGCATGTATAGGAGGGGCTTCTCTGGTGCTTGCATAGTGGCCTTACATGTTTCTTCATACATCTCATGTAACATAATGAAATTTTAAATCCCCATCCTTGGGTATGATCTTTAGCATTAAAATGAGGGAGGGGTAACTTTAAGTTGAACTGCGCAGACAGGACCCTGGAGCAGTCCCTAACCCGCTAAACCAGGGACTTGAGGTTAATGGCTTCTTGGGTCTTTTGTTGCTGATTGGCTGGAAGTTGGGTAAGCTACAGCTTGGGTAAGAGGCTTGTTCCTTCTCCTCTAAACCACAGCAAAACAGGAAACCAGACAGCCTGCCTGTCTCAAAATGACCCAGTGTAGGCAAATCAGGTTCTCCCTCTGAGGAATGTGCCACTTTTAGCAGATGGACACAGAGGTAAAACTTAGGGCCATGAAGCATCACTACTTTATTCCTGCTAAGGGGTTCCCCTTCCTTCCCAGGGCCTAGAGGTTCAGGCCTCCTTCAGTGCTCTGAGCTGCCACATATCCTTCCACAGAATTCCACTCAGGCTTGGTAGCCAGAGATCCTTTGTTTGTAATCAAATCACTCTGAGGACAGCAACTTGCAACACTTCACAAATACATTTGAGGAAGGATTTGTTTTGTTTTTTTGGCAAAATAACCCTCTGAATGGGTTATCTGCAGAACACACGCTGCTCTAGGTAATAATAGAGGTCTTTTGTAACATACTAAGGGGACATAAACTGTCCTGGATGCTTATATTTGCTCATTGAAAATCACCAACTAAGGAACAATAATGCATCCCTCTCTATGTGTTTATGCCATAGAGAGGGTTGATATGGCCTTGCTAGCGATGGTGAAGCCACCACACAAAGGCACTGTATTGGCACTAAAACGATCGAGGGTCACAGGACTCCTACTCTGGGGAGAAATGTAATGTCCTTAGTGAAGCATAGAATTTACCAGGGTGTCATATTTCAAACTGACTGCAAAAGGGAACCTTGAGCTTACCACAAGGCTAGAGCTTCCTGGAGAGCAATTAGGCTGGTTTACAGAGCAATCTCCCTCACTCTAGAAGTGATACCGGACGGGGGGCAGGGAAGTGCTGGGTAGAGAAGGGTGGGGTCCCTGGTGAGGGCTCCACCCTCAGATCTGTGCCCACGGACCTAAATGAGGACAGGCATTTCTGTTTCTGTGCCCAAAATGTTGCCTTTTCGCCCACCACACCCACTATCCTGTGCCCATAAAAACCCTGGACCGTAGCAGGCACACACACAGGCGGCTGGACATTGAGAGGAGCAGAAGAACACACCAGCAGACACCGGCAGGCCAGTGATGGCCGAACAACGTGGATGCCAATTCAGCCAGGGGCATCTGGAGGAGAGTTTGGCCGCTGGGCAGGATCGACTCCAGGGGAAGAGCACCTTCCCACCCCATCCCCCTTCTGGCTCCCCATCCATCTCACTGGGAGCTACCCTCACCACTCAATAAAATCTTGCACTCATTCTCCAAGCCCCCGTGTGATCCGATTTTTCCAGTACACAAGGGAAAGAACCCAGGATACAGAAAGCCCTCTGTCCTTGTGGTAAGGAAGAGGGTCTAATTGAGCTGATTAACACAAGCTACCTGCAGATGGCAAGGCTGAAAGAGCACACTGTAACACACGCCCACTGGGGCTTCAGGAGCTGTGAACACTCAACCCTAGATGTTGCCATGGGGTCGGAGTCCAAAAACACTCCCCACCATCTGCTCATCTGCAAGTTGCCCCTAGGGCTTTGAGCACCAGGGCACTGAAGAAACCGGCCACACCCCTGCCACTACACGCCCTGTGAGGGAGATAAGGGAACTCTCCTGTTTCAGCAGGGTGTGGAGGGATGGGGGAAGGAGCGCTCATAAGTCTCCTCCCAAAGCCTAGCAATGGAGTGGGATGTTGGTATGTATATTTTTAGAGAGAAAAACAGCTTTTAAATTATATTCATTTAAGAAAAGTAAAATACTCTAATGTAGAGGCAAAACAAAGAAATATCCTTTTACAGGAAATGGGGGCTGGGGGACAAGTGAAAAGAAGGAATAGAAAGATGCTAAAAGCACATACCTAAATCATGTTAACTCTATCTTTGTGTTTCTACACAATTTCTGGAATGACAGGTACATGAACAGCAATAGCAGTAATATTCACAATAGTAATAGCAAATATTAATACTATGATTTGGGTCGTATTCTATTTACATTACAAACCATTATCCCCAACTACACAGATGACAAAACTGAGGCATGAAAGTAGATTAACTGTCCACAAGCCTGCCTCTTTAACAAATTAACTTCCCCATAGCTAATTATCTTACCCTAAACTAATTGTCTTCTTCTCTACCACACAAAAACATGCAAACATGATATAACTTAGAGTGATCATAGTGATAAAAGAAAGTTGTATATAGGCATATATATGTATGTATACGTATATATACATACATATATATACATATCCACACATATCCAAAAGGCTGCATGAAGAAGAAGGAATAATACAATGAATAATAAATGGACTGAGGCCCTAAAGGGGCGAGAAATGAGAGATAAAGACAGACTTACAGAACGCTTGGGAATACATCTTTCTCTTAGCCTGGAGGACAGTAAGAAGAGAGAAAATAAATGTTTTGTGGTAGATATTGGCAATTCATGCCCAAAAGCTTTTCTCGGAGAGACATAATGCAAGGCAATGTGGAAAAAAACAAAAAGGATGTTTTTAATCTGTTTATTTTTTTTAGTCTATTGGCCTGGATTAGCACTTTTTTTTCTAAAAACCCATCCATTATCTCTGTAGGATATGGATATTTATCCATGGTAGAAGTTAAATTGATGTTTATGGAGCAAATCAATTGTGTGTGTTTGCACTCTAACTAACAGCTCTTTCCAGCTTTCGCAGGAATATTTTTACAAACTTTACAGTTTCATTATGAACATTCTGTTTATTCAGACTGTGTGAAGATTTCCAATGCATTTGTTCTACTTGTATTCTAAAGTCCTGAAGACTGTTTCAAAATTATAAATCATTTGGGTCCCAAACTCAGATGACGCCAGAGTCTGGGCAAATAGCATAAGTGAATGAAGCAATCTGCATGTAAAAAAAAAAGATATGGCTAGTTTGTTGTGCCTCTTGTGGCCGCTTTTCATAAAGGCATGGGTACAGAATATAATTTAAGGAAAGTTACAGCAAAAGTGCCCTGATAATGACAAACCATCATTGGTCCTAGTCTCAGAGAAATAATAAGGAGGGGGTAGGTATTATCACAAATTGGCAAATTTATGATCATCTAAAGCTGGTAGCTGCTACCCAGACTTACCCATTGTTGCCACATATGAAATGTGATAAAATGTGGTAGATGACAAAAATGACCCTCCCCACTCTTTCTGTATCTAAGCAATGTAATTATGCAGTAACTTCATACTTACTTTTGCATGAAAAAAAGCTAATCCAGGCCAGTAGACTCAATAAGCAGATTATAGAAGGTTGTTTGTTACCCACTGTTAGCATGGTAATAGATAACTGATACAGAAATTCAGATAAGAACCTAAGAAAGTGAAATCTAATTTTTAAAAATCAGCAGCTAATTTTTTTTAATGACATAGCTCAAACACAACCATTTCTATGGATCTGATCCAGACCACAGGCCACTATTTTGCATTCTCCATTCTAATCCCTTCATTTTACAATTAAGAAAAGACATTCAAAGAGATAAGATATATTTTCCAAAGCCAAGTAATTGGACCTCAGCGGTGTTGATTCACATAATATGGTCACTTTTTAAAAAACAACTTAGTGTCCTCATTTGAGTGCATGGATATTTCCAAATCACTGGGGCCTTCCCTCTCCATTCTTTCCATTACTTTGTTTTTGTCCAGGGGCTAGATCCACGTGAAGAAAATATTGCATTCTTCTCTATCAGCCTCATCTGAGCCCTGTCAGCTGCCATTTTTTGAGGAGGACATCTGAATTCTCCTTTCCCAGCAAAGGTAATACTTCTAAAAATGTGCTTGAGGCTACAAACTTGGTATATAATTTTGGCATTAAACTCATACCTCCTCCCTCCACAAAACACATGAATAAATGATGCTTCTAATTTAAAGTGGAATAACTTTTATACCATGCTGACTAAGGAAAAAATCCCACGAAATGTGAATAATGTTGGTCTTGGCCAAATAAAAACAGTAACAATCTAGGATAAAAGCAGACAGGCAAATTCTAATAGGGCATATGTCCATTCATTTAGAAAAACATAGCTTCTCTTTCACAGAGCTACTGAAGGAGAACCCATATTGAAAGATGTGATTATTGTTTTAGCTGAGATTCATAAAGAGACTGAACAGCTGCACACTTTATTAGATCTAATCTAAATACCTGCTACTTGTGTTTTGTGCTGGGAGATATTTATGTTATCAATTCAAGTTTATACTAACCATCAGGAAGAATACTCCCTGTAGCTCTGCTGACTCAAAATAATGACTTGTAAGGGCGCTCTAATGACAGAACAAGGGGCAATTATAGACACAGCGTGAGCCTTGGAAAAACTGTGTGATGTATTTTGTGCACTTGATTGACCTCATGTTCAAGTTCATTTGTGCCTCACTGTTGTAGATAAGGCCTATGCCTCAGGGTATATGCCTTGTTAATTTCAATATAAGAAGACAGAATGGATTAGATCAGATGGCTCAAACAAAAAAACAAAGCTGCACCAGCGCTTGACGGAAAAGTGATGACACATTGGGGTCTACCAGAAGGAACCATCAAATATCTTTCAGGGAAGAATGAGAAGTTAGAATAATCAATATGGAGTGTTAATTCATTTCAACTCTTGAGATAACTAAAACAATGTACATCTCCTTATGTCTTTATGTGATTATGGTGACTTCTTGGGGAGGACTTGGAATTCATCATAAAATAAGAGAGGGATAGGAAAACGAAAAGAAAACAAGAACTTACTATAAAATAAAGTTACTGTGAGCTATCCATAGATTACATTGCTTTAGTGTAAAACTATTCGGCAGTCTCTGTGCATGTCACTTTGAAATACATACCTGCTGTGCTGTAAATCACTGAATGAGGAAAGGGGAGAAAGATTTTCTGATGGGCTGTTTATAATCCCAATTCTATACATGTTTACTTAAAGATGGGGGGGTGGATAAAACAAGGGGAGTGTAGGAGTGAAATTATTGTTTATTTATTTTCACCAATGTTAGTGTTTACCAAAAAGGAACAAATTCTCGTTTTGTTGTGTACAAAATTACAGAGGGAGCTCAAGCACGTAACAATATTGCAGACTGCCTTGAAAATAACGTGGAATAACTGGTACTTATGCAATTCCTCAGAAATATAGCTTTGATTCTAAATTGGCTGCAAAGAGGTGTTCCAAAATAGTAATTTCATCAGTCTTGGCTGTTTGCTAATAGTACCATCTAGTCAACTCTGCCTGCATTTCCAAATTGGTTGTTAGAAAAACCTACAACAGTCTTGGTAAAAACTTGCAATCAATGTTTTCTAAATGATACTGGAAACCACATCTTTGGTCTCCTATTGTTATCCACGCAATCTTTGAGAAAGGGCATAATTAATATGTAATTTTGAATGAAGAAATTTCTTACCCAAAATATACAAATGAAGTGCCAACCTAGCAAAGTATGGAGGCAAACAATGCCAAGTGATTAAAAATTGGAATATGGGAATCTATTCTGTGTTTATCTGGCCTGAAAAATTTAGGCTGGAAACGGGTCATAACTGAAGCTGTATGAATGTAAGAGCTATTATAGGAACAGACAAGATTCTGATGTTTTCTACACCTATTTTTGCTTCAGATATTAGGGTAAGAGTAGGATATATATGCTCAAACACCCATTGCCTTTTAAAAAATTGATTTGCAATAATCTGAATTTTAAAAAAATTTAATCAAGATGTCAGACAAAATACACTGATTTTAAGCAGTATGTAGAAAATAATTATATATGGATTTTCAGATTTCTATGAGAAAATAGATATCTGATGGAAAGTTCTTGCTTTAGGGAAGATGTTTCCTGTCCACTAAAGCAATATGCTTGGTGTAAAAAAAAAAAAAAAAAAAAAAAAAAAAAAAAAGTCTATGATTTGGACTTTTTTTTTTAAGTAGAGATGGGGTTTCACCATGTTGGCCAGGCTGGTGTCAAACTCCTGACCTCAGGTGATCCGCCCACCTTGGCCCCCCAAAGTACTGTGATTACAGGTGTGAGCCACCAGGACCGGCTTCAATTTGGACATATTTTGGCTAGAAAGTATCTATTCATCTTTTGTCCAGTAAAGTAATTTTCCTCTGGAAAACACCTACCAACTTTCATTTCATGCATTTAGGGAGGCTCATGATTCAATCCCTGGCAATGATGTAAGTTTGGCTAATCAGACCTTCTCATTTTTCCTGGCTATAGTAATTTCAAACAGAGCATCTGATACAGTTAAGAGCCATGGGAGAGTGCCACCCTGAAAATTTTCTGCAATTACTGAGAAAAGCACTGGGTTTGAACCTGGAAGTATTTGGCCTAGAGCTATTGGCAGCCATTCTAACATTAAATGGGGCCTGAGAATGACTCCATCAAAATAAAAGATAGCTCCACAAGATAAAGTGAAAATAAATTCTGATGCATTTATTTAGTTATTAAATCATTCATTCAACAAATGTTTATTAAACATTTACTAGGGACCAGGACATGTGTAGTGGGGACAATGGTAATATAAATTTTTAAATAATTTCAGAGTGATATGAGAATGTAAAACTAATAAGGCAAAACATACTAAGAAGGACTAGGTAGGTTTTCTATATAGTCAAAAGCATGGGGCAGCAAACTACATCAGATGGACTAAATGTAGTTTGTACATTTTGAAAGCATTGTTACAAGGGAGAGAGGAGGCAGACTATGCCACAGACACCATATGTGGCTATCAATGCCGAAAATCCTTACTATCTATCCCTTTATAGAAAAAAATTTACCAGTCTACCAAATAGTTGTCAAGAATTTTTTCTGTTCCTCTACAAGCATGTCACTTATCTCATCAAAAAGTAGAGTTTATTTCACCACTGATTGGATCTTGGCTGAGCTTGTAAGCATTTTTGGCCAACAGAATAATGTAGAAGTAACATTCCGAGATTGCTAAGCCTAGATATTAAGAGGCATTGTAGTTTTTACTTTTACTCTTGCAAACCAGACCCCGTGCAAGGAAGTCTAGTCTATTATTCTAGAGAGAGAGTGTGAAAGATGTGAGACCATGTGGAAAGAAAAGCCGCATGAAAGAAAAGCATCATAGGCAGTACTAAGGCCCTAGACACATGAATGGAGCTGTATTTGGTCCTCTAGCCTCAGTCAAGGCTCTTCTGCCAATAGTTCCCATGTGAAGCAGAGATAAACCGTCCCTACTAAACCCCACCAAGAATTCCTGACTCACAGAATAATAAGCAATAAAATGATGGCTGCCTTAAGCCACTACATTTGGGTGTGCTTTGTTTTGCAGTAATAGAGAATTAAAACAGAAGTTGGTACCGGAATTAGAGTTGGCTGTGACAGAAACCTGAACGACAAAGCATCATCTTTGGGTTTGGGTGGCAGGCACAGGCTTGATGGAAGGTGAGGAACCTTTAAGGGAAGTTTGGAAAGCATTGAACAAAATCCTATAAAAGACCAGAGAAAGGATGATTTGTGTTACACAGTGGTGGTACATTTAACAACATTTGTGAATCTGGATAAGATTTTTAAGCATAAGATTAAAAGTGTCAATTGATTTCTTACAGTTATGTATGATCAGTTACAGAAGGGAAAGAGAGACTAAAGAAAAAGTGTTTCTTTTTCAAGCATAATTTAGAGAAAATATAGAGGACCCAGGATAATTTTGCCAGTGAGAAAAATGTTCTGAAAGTAAGAAATGGCCTCCAAGTAAAGATCAAATCAAGAATATGTCCATAAAACTCTTGGTTATGAATTCAGAGGATTTAAAGTGATGTGTATTATACCTCTGGCTGAGTTAAGACACATCTAAGAATCTTAAGACAATGCCTCACAGCAGTCTGACATTCCCAAAGTAGAGAGAGCTCTGTCTCAATATTTACATATATCTGAAAATATTCAGATAACTGAAAAGTTCCAGATATCTGAAAATCTCATAAATATTTTAAGAGAGCAACAGTGACAGAAGCACTACCAACTTGGATTAAATGAAACTGAGACAGTGGAATATAAAAAGAGGGCTCTGAGCCCCAGGTTTCTGTGAGTAGGAAGCAGGGACAGGAAGCAGCGAAACTGCAAACTCAGGAATTTTCAGTGCATGCAACCCTGGGTGAGGGAAAATAGTGGACTCGTGGACCCCTGTCAAGGAGTAGAAGAATCAGGCCCTAATGAAGAAACATTGTATTGAATAGGGGAAGTGGGTGATATGTCGAGAAGGATTTTAGAATTGCTACAGACCAAGAACTACTATGGGCCTTCCTTCTCCCATTGCTGACTGAGAGTGTCTATTGCAGTTAGCCTGTCCATGTCTCATCACTGTATGTTGGTGTGGGAAAAGGATAACCAGACTTTTAATTCTCAAATCTCAAGACCCAGAGAAACTAAATTCAAATAGGCTTATCCTCTCCAGAGCAGACATAGATCACAAAACCCTGAATTTTAAACCTGATGCTATATCTGACAAAGGTCTAATATCCAGCATCTGTAAGAAACTTACATTTACAAGAAAAAAACAACCTTGTTAGAAAGTAGGCAAAGGACATGAACAGACACTCTTCAGAAGAAGACATTTTTCACATGCAGCCAAGAAGCATATGAAAAAAAGCCTCACATTACTGATCGTTAGGGAAATGCAAATCAAAACCACAATGAGATACCATCTCATGCCAGTCAGAATGGCTATTACTAAAATGTCAAAAAATAACAGATCTGCTGAGGTTGTGGAGAAAAAGGAACACTTATACACTGTTGGTGGGAATGTAAATTAGTTCAACCATTGTGGAAAGCAATGTGGTGATTCCTCAAAAAGCTAAAAACAGAACTACCATCTGATTCAGCAATCCCATTACTAGGTGTATACCCAAAGAAATATAACTCATTCTATCATAAAGACACGTGAGCCTGTACGTTCACTGCAGCACTATTCACCATAGCAAAGACATGGAATCAAACTAAATGCCTATCAGAGGTAGGCCGGAAAAAAATAATGTGGTACATATATACACCATGGAATATTATGCAGTCATAAGAAAAAACAAAATCATGTCCTTTGCAGGAACCAGATGGAATTGGAGGGCATTATCCTTAGCAAACTAATGCAGGAATGAAAAACTATATATGGCATGTTCTCACTTATAAGTGGAAGGTAAATGGTGAGAATACATGAACACGTAGAGGGGGAAAATAGACACTGGGGCCTACCTGAGGTTGGAAGGTAGGAGGAAGAAGAGGATAAGGAAAAATAACTAATGGATACCAGCCCTAATACCTGGGTGACAAAATAATCTGTACAATAAAACCCCATGATGCAAGTTTACCAACGTAACAAACCTGTACATGTACTCCTGAATTTAAAATAAAAGTCTAAAAAATACCCTGATGCTATAATTGGACAAGATTTGAGGGTCTTCAGGGAGTGAATATATTTTGCACATGGGAACAAATGTGAAAGGACATAGCCAGAAGGTGGACTGCAGTAGATTGTCTGCAAAAATGGCCACCAACAATCATTCAACACACATATCACAACTCCTACCGAGAGGGAGTCTATTTTCCCACCACTTGAATCTATGGTGGTCTTGTGACTTGTTTTGAACAACAGAATAAGGTAGAAATGATGATGTGGTTTCGCTGTGACCCCACCCAAATCTCATCTTGAATTGAAGCTCCCATAATTCCCACATGTCACGGGAAGGACCTGGTGGGAGGTAATTGAATCACAGCAGCAGGTCTTTCCCACGCTGTTCTCGTGATAGTGAGTAAGTCTCACATGATCTGATGATTTTATAAAGGGGAGTTCCCCTACACAAACACTCTTGCCTACCGCCATGTAAGACACACCTTTGCTTATCCTTTGCCTTCTGCTATGATTGTGAGGCCTCCCCAGCCATGCTGAACTGTGAGTCCACTAACCCTCTTTCCTTTATAAATTACCCAGTCTCAGGTATGTTTTTATTAGCAGCGTGAGAACAGACTAATACAAATGCCATTCTGAGATTTCCAAACCTAGGCCTTTACGGCCTAGAGCTTTAGATTTTGCTCTTAGAAGGCAGCTACTATACAGAAAAGTCCAGACTATCCTGCTGGAGAGAGAGTCTGCAGGGAAAGAGAAGATCCACAGGATGAGAGATTGTGTGAGGAGAGAAGCCAAGTGGAGAAGAACTGAAGTGCCACACTGTAAGGTCAACACCAAAGCGTATTGGGGCCTCCAGCACTAGTTGATCCACTCAGCCAACACCACATAGAGTAGAGGCAAGCAGCCCACTGAATCTTTACTGAATTCCTGACACACAGAATCATAAACAGTAAGTCACCATTTTAAGCGACTAAGCTTTTGGTGGTTTGTTATAAAGCAAGAGATAAAAGGCAGGTGTCTATTTTATATAGAGTAGCCAAAGAAGCTCTGTCATAGTCAATGCAGGCTGCTATAACAAAACACAAGGGACTGGGTGGCTTAAAGAGCAAACATTTAAATCTCATGTTTCTGGAGGCTGGGAAATCCAAGAACAAGGTGCCAACAGGTTCAGCTCCTGGTGGAAGGTTCACTTCCTGATTCACAGCTGGCAGCCTTCTCGCTGGGTGCTCACACGGCCTTTCCTTGATGCATGTATGTGGAAAAAGAAAGATCTCTCTCTCTCTCTTTATCTCTTATAAGGGCACTAATGTAATTATAAAGATTCCCCCTTAAGATATAATCTAAATTTAATAACCTCCCAAAAGCTTTACCTCCAAATATCATCACTTTGGGGGCTTTAGCATATGCATTTTGGGGGAACACAAGCATTGAACTCATAACAAGTACTCTCTAAGGAAGTGGCATCTGAACAGAGATTATAATGCTATGGATGAGGAAACTATGTTCAAACTGAACATTCCAGGCAAACAAACATAGCTGTGAGGCTTAATTGACTTAATGTATTCTAGAAACTTTGAGAAGTTTGCTGAAGCTGAACTGGCATGGATCAGATGAGGAATGGAAAGACATGAGGTCAGTGAATACAAAGAAATCAGGTACTGTAGGAACTTTTAGTATAAAGAAAAGGAATTTTAATTTTATTCTAAGAATGTGTTCCTGAATCAAGCTCACTACTTTAGAAAGTTTAAGTTTTATAAAACAATAAATTCTTTTTGTTTGTCTCTCTTGTTTGCATCTGAAAAAATCCCTATCTAACTAAACAATGAGATTCACTAAGATAATTAATTGAAAAGTAATAATATTTTAACACCTTACCTTGAATTTTTAGAATAATATTACTTTAAATATAAGGGTAAAGGTCAAGATAATATTTATCCAAATATCTAAGTCCTGCACAAAAATGGGATCCCCTGAAAGGTAGAATACACTAGTGGTTTCCAGTGTATTTAGTTTTGGTAGATTATCTACACACAAACAAACACACACTACATATATATTATGTATGTATACAATATGTATACATAATATATATACATGTACACATAATATATATGTATACAATATGTATATGATATATACACATATATAATATATATCTATATATGTAGTATGTGCGTATTATATATAATACATATATACATATATATATAGCGTGTATGATTTCACAGTTTATTTTAATTAAATATTTAAGAAGTATTTATATTATATTAGTTTCCTATTTCTGCTGTAACAAATTGCCACACAGTTGGTGGCTTGAAACAAAAAATTTATCCTCTCATAGCTCTGGAAGCCAAAAGTCCAAAATCACAGTGTCAACTAGGCAGTGTGCTCCCTTCAAAGATTTCAGCAAGACAAATTTTCTTGTCTCTTCCAGATTCTGGTGGCCCCAGGCATTCCTTGTGGCTTTTATTACTCCAATCTCTTCCCCCATCCAAATTGCTTTCCCTTATTTTTTGACCCTTATATGAATATTTGTCATTGGATTTAGGACCCAACCAATTAATACATGATGATTTCATCTCAAGATCCTTAACTTAATTACATCCAAAATAACCTTTTCCCAAACAAGGTCACATTCACAGGTTATCAGGGATTAGAACTTGGACATATTTTTTAGCTGGCTGGAGGCAGGTTAGCATTCAACCCCCTACAATACTAAAAACACATTTTTAAATCAAAGGAAAGAAGTAAAACATTGTGAAATGGCTGAAGCACCATTTCAAGGAACCAAGTTTGAGAGTCAATACATTAATTTCAAAAGCATATGTTACTTTATTTTTATTGTTCTGATTTCACAGAATAATAAACATTGAGTTTAAAAAGGACAAATATATAGAAGAAATCAGATAATACTTTTATGTGTTGCATATCCACAGCACTAGCCTATTTAAGACATTTGAAACCATTGAAAAACTGATTTTGAGAGTCCCAATACTTCATATAGCAACCTGCATCTCCACACATAAAAAATTTCTTATTTTCATCTTGCTTTCACTAGAGCCATCCTTACTCCATTTACAATGTGAATTACAATTTAGATTGCTGCCCTACGTGTCTGAAGGTGACTCAGTAGAGAATAGAAGAGGGGATCACTGTGATAGAGATGAGCTTGGTGATATGTGTCAAACAAACAAAAAGAACATCCTGTGAATCTTTTTCATGATTAAGTTACACATCTAAATTAAAAATAATGATAGAAAAAGCAGAGGTTAAAAATAACACTGACAAGTAGTATCATATGATTATGCGATTTAAATCTATATTTAATGGCAATTTTCATTTCTGACTATAAGTGTAAGTAATGGGTCTATACTCTGAAAGTGTATTTACACTCTTCAAGTGTAAATAATGGATCTAAACCCTGAAAACCTGTTTACACATCCCTTATATTGGAAAATTTTTAATTCTCATGTCTAAGAATATCTTTTTGGTCAGAATGATTTTTGTTTCAAGTGACGGAAAATGCGACTCAAATTGGATTTAGAAAAACAGGAATAACTCCAAATGCTATCCTTCCCCTCTCCCCGCACCCCACAACAGGCCCCGGTGTGTGATGTTCCCCTTCCTGTGTCCATGTGTTCTCATTGTTCAATTCCCACCTATGAGTGAGAACATGTGGTGTTTGGTTTTTTGTCCTTGCGATAGTTTGCTGAGAATGATGGTTTCCAGCTTCATCCATGTCCCTACAAAGGGCATGAACTCATCATTTTTTATGGCTGCATAGTATTCCATGGTGTATATGTGCCACATTTTCTTAATCCAGTTTATCATTGTTGGACATTTGGGTTGGTTCCAAGTCTTTGCTATTGTGAATAGTGCCACAATAAACATACATGTGCATAGCATTTGGAGATATACCTAATGTTAAATGACTGGATTTAACTGGTGTATATGACATGAGAAAAGAGTATAATTTCATTTTTCTGCATGTAGATACCCAGTTTTGCCAGCACCATTTCTCAAAGAGACTATCTTTTTCACATTGTGTGGTCTTGGCATGCTTGGCAAAGATCTTGTAAACTTACATGTGTTGGTTTATTTCTGGGCTTTCTGTTCTGTTCTGTTGGTCTATAGGTTTGTTTTTATTCTGGTGCCATGCCATTTTGATTACCATAGCTTTGTAATATATTTAAAATCAGATAGCATGAAACTAACTTTGTTTTTCTTTTTCAAAATTGTTTTGGTGATTCAGAGTGCCTTGAGAGTCCACATGAATTTTATGATAGTGTTTTTTTCTATTTCTGTTTAAAATGTGATTGGCATTTTGATAGGAATTGCATTTAATCTATAGATTTCTTTAAGTACAATGAATATTTGAACAATATTAAATACCACAATCCATGAACATAGGATATCTTCCCATTTATTTGTATCTTCTTCAATTTTTTTAAATAATGATTTTGTGGTTGCCAGTGTATGGATCTCTCACCTTTTTGGTTAAATTTATTCCTAAGTATATATTTTTTTCTATTCTATTGTAAATGGCATTGTTTTCTTGATTTCTTTTTTGTAGAGATCGATGTTAATTTTTGTATGATAATTTTGTACTCTACTACTTTACTGAATTAGTTGAATATGCCTATTTCTGATAGAAGAGTGCTGAGGTCTCCAAGTGTAATTGTGGATTTATTTATTTATTTCTTCTTCTTGCAGATCTGTAGTTTTTGCCTCACATACTTTGACACTCTGTTTTTACACACATACCTGTTAAGAATTGTTATACAGTTTTGGAGAAGTGGTTCCTTATTATTTTGTAATGCCTCTCTTTGTTAGCCTGGATAATTTTCCTTGTTTGCTCTTTTCTTGCTCTGAAGTTTGCTCTTTCAGAAATTAACATAGCTATTTCTGCTTTCTTTTGGTTATTGTTAGCAAGGCATCTCTTTCTCCATCCATTTACTCTTAATCTGTATGATTCTTTTTTTTTTTTTTTCTCTTGTTGCCCAGGCTGGAGTGCAATGGCGTGATCTCGGCTCACCGCAACCTCTGCCTCCTGGGTTCAAGTGATTCTCCTGCCTCAGCCTTCCTGAGTAGCTGGGATTACAGGCATGCGCCACCACGCCCAGCTAATTTTGTATTTTTAGTAGAGACGGGGTTTCTCCATGTTAGTCAGTCTGGTCTTGAACTCCTGACCTCAGATGATCTGCCCACCTCAGCCTCCCAAAGTGCTGGGATTACAGACATGAGCCACCGCGCCTCGCCTATCTATATGATTCTTTATATTTCAAATGAGTTTCTGGTAGACAATTCATAGTTAGGTCTTGTTTTTTTACCCATTCTGATGATTCTGACTTTTAATTGGTGTATTTGGGCCAAGGACATTTAAAGTAACTGTTAATATAGTTGGATTAACACCTACCATTCTTGTTACTTTTTTTATTCATTGCCCTTGTTCTTTCTTCCTATTTTTGTTTTTGACTCTCTCCCTACCTTTTGTGGTTTTAATTGAGCATTATACATATTTTTATTCTCTCCCCTTTCTTAGCATATTATACTTCTTTGTTTAATACATTTTTTGTCGTTGGCCTAGGGTGTGCAGTATTACAAAATTCATTAGCAACAAATCGAAGTTCAATTTCAAATAACACTATGCCATTTCAAGGGTAGTATGAGTACCTTAAAATTACAAAATAATTATTTCCTTTCATCTCATATCACTGCTGTAATGCATTTCACTTACATGTCAACACATGTAAATATGCAGAATGTGTGTGTATAATCAAATACATTGTTACATTATTTTGAATGAACAATTATCTCTTACATCACTTAAGAATAATAAAAATAAGTTTATTTTACCTTCACTATTCCTTTCTTGATTTTCTTCCATTCTATATGTAAAACCTAGTTTCTACATATATTACTTTCCTTCTCCCTAATAAACTTCTATTAATAATTCTCATAAGGCAGATTTATGGGCAAGAAGCTCCCTCAATTTTTATTCATCTGATAAAGTCCTTATTTCATTTTCACTTCTGAAAATAATTTTTCAGGGTACAGATTTCAGGATGGTGGGTTTTTTCTTTCAACATTTAAAATATTGCCCTCCACTCTCTTCTTGCTTGCACGGTTTCTAAGGAGAAATCAGATGTAATTCTTATCTTTGCTCCCCTAAAGGTAAGGTGTCCCTGATCACCAAACTCCGGCTTCCTTCAACAGTTTTTCTTTCTCTTTGATATTTTCAGTTTGAATATTATAGGCCTTAGTATCTTTTTTTGACAATTCTGTTCAGTGTTGTCTGAGTTTTCTGGATTGATGACAAATATTAATTTAGGGGAATTTTCAGTCATTATTGTTGTATATATTTCTTGTTTCTTTGTCTCTTTCTTCTCCTTATGATATTCCCCTTATGCATTTGTTACACCTTTTGTAGTTCTCCTACAGCGTTTGGGATATTCTATTATTTTTGTCTGTTTGTTTGTTTGCTTGCTTGCTTCGTTAGTTTTAGAAATTGGTATTGAAATATCCTCAGGCTCTGCAACTCTGTTTTGTTTTGTTTTGTTTTAAGGCAGAGTTTTGTTCTCATCACCTAGGCTGGAGTATAATGGCACAATCTCAGCTCACTGCAACTTCCGCCTCCTGGGTTCAACCAATTCTCTTGCCTCAGCCTCCCGAAGTAGCTGGGATTACAGGCGCCCACCACTACATCAAGCTATATTTTTGGTATTTTTATTTGAGATGGGGTGTCACGTCGGCCAGGCTGGTCTTGAACTCCTGACCTCAGGAGATCCACCCACCTCGGCCTTCCAAAGTGCTGGGATTACAAGCGTGAGCCACCATGCCCGGCCAGGCTCTGCAATTCTTTCTTCAGTCACGTCCAGTCTAAGTTCAACAAAGGCATTCTTCATTTATCTTACAGTGAATAATAAGTTCAACAAAGGCATTCTTCATTTATCTTACAGTGAAGCATTTCTTATTCTTTCTTAGAGTTTTTACTTTTCTGTTTATATTCCCCATCTGTTCTTACCTGCTCTCTACTTTATATGTTAGAGCCCTTAGCATATTAAATCACAGCTATTTTAAATTTCCAGACAGTAAACTCCAACATCCCTGCTATACCTGAGTCTGGTTGTAATTCAGTCTCTTCAAACTGTGTCTTTTGTCTTTTGGTATGTCTTGTGATTTTTTCTTGCTAGTCAAACATGATGCACTGGGTAAATTGAATTGCAGTAAAGTAGGCCTTTAGTAATGTGAATGTAATCTTTTTATTATTGGAGTGACTTGCCTCAATGTTTATGGCTGCTGACTGATCAGGGTGGTGGTTGCTGAATTTTGTGGTGGCTGTGGCAATTTCTTGAATTAAGGCAACAATGAAGTTTGTGATATTGATCAACTCTTTTTCACAGAAAAAAAATTCTCTGTAGTATGTGCTCTTATTTGATAGCATTTTACTCTCAGTAGAACTTTTTTCAAAACCGTAGTCAATCCTCTCAAACTGTGCTGCTGTTTTATCAACTAAGTTTGTATAACCATATAAATTCTTTGTTGTCATTTTAACAATGTTCACGGCATCTTCACCAGGAGTATTTTCTATCTCAAAAAAATCGCTTGCTTTCCTCATTCATAAGAAGCAATTCCTCATCTGTTTTACCATGAGATTGCAGCAATCAGTCACATCTTTGGGCTCCACTTCTAATTCTCCAGTTCTCGTGCTCTTTCCATCACAGCTGCAGTGACTTCCTCTATTGAAGTCTTGAACCCCTCAAAGCCATCCATGGAGATTGGAATCAGCTTCTTCCAAACTCCTATTAATGTTGATATTTTGACCTCCTCCCATGAATCATGAATGTTCTTAATGGCATTTAGAATGGGAAATTCTTTCCAGAAGGTTTTCAATTTACTTTGCCCAGATCTATCAGAAGAATCACTATCACAGCTATAGTCCTATTAAATGTATTTCTTTAATAGGACTTGAAAATCAGAATTACTCTTTTATCCCTGGGCTATAAAACAGATTGTGTTAGCAGCATAAAAACAACATTAAACTCTTTGTATATCTTCATCAGAGCTCTCAGGTAACTGGGTGCATTGTCAATGAACAGTAGTATTTTGAAAGGAATCTTTTTTTCTGAAAAAGCAGCTGTCAACTGTGGGTTTAAATTATTCAGCAAACCATGCTATAAACAGATGCACTATCATCCAGGCTTTGTTGTAGAGCACAGGCAGAGTAGATTTAGCATAATTCCTAAGGGCCCTAGGATTTTCAGCATGGTAAATGAGTACTGGCTTCAACTTAAAGTCACCAGCTCCATTAGCCCCAAACAAGACTTAATCTGTCCTTTTAAGCTTTGAAGCCAAGTATTAACTTTTCTTCTTTAACTACAGAAGTTCCAGATGGCATCTTCTTCCAATATAAGGTTGTTTCATGACATTGAAAATCTATTGTTTAGTGTAGCCACCTTCATCAATGATCTTAGCTAGGTCTTCTGGATAACTCGCTGCAGCTTCTCCAACAGCCCTTGTAGCCACATCTTGCACTTTTAGGTTATGAAGAACTTCCTCATCTCTCTCGGCTTCATAGAATTGAAGAGTTATCTTCTCTGAATTAGGCTTTGACTTAAGGGAATATTGTGGCAGATTTAATCTTTTATCCAGACCATAAAATTTTCTCTATCAGCTATCAGGCTGTTTTGCTTTCTTATTGTTCATGTGTACACTAGAGTACAACTTTTAACTTCCTTTAATAACTTTTCCTTTGGTTTCACAGTTTGGCTGTTTGGTGCAAGAGACCTAGCTTCCAGCCTATCTCAGCTTTCAACATGCCTTCTTCACCAAGCTTAATCATTTCTAGCTTTTGATTTACATGAAAGATGTGAAACTCTTCCTTTTATTTGAACACTTAGAAGCCATTGTATGGTTATTAATTGACCTAATTTTTATATTCTGTGTCTCAGAGAATAGAGAGCCCTGAGGAGAGGGAGAGAGCTGATGAACAGCTGATCTATAGAGCAGTCAGAACACACACAACATTTATCAATTAAGTTCGCTGTCATATGAATGCAGTTTGTTGCACCCCAAAACAATCACAATAGTAACATCAAAGGTCACTGATCACAGATAATCATAGCACATATAAAATAAGTTTGAAATATTGCAATAATCATCAAAATGTGACACTGAGACACCAAAATGAGCACATCCTGTTGGAATAATGGTGCTGAACAACTTGCTCACTGCAGTGTTGTCACAATCCCTCAGTTTTTTAAAAATGCAATGTCTGCAAAGTTCATTAGACTGAAGTGCAGTAAAATGAGATATGCCTGTAACAGAAAATTAAGGCAAACATTTGGATTATATTATGTATGCATACACAGATTAGTAAACCTTTTAGCTAGGTTTGTGCCTATGGCAACATGGACAATAATGGCAGTGCTTGTTCTGCTACTTTCTTTATCATGGATATGCCTTTGCATATGACAGCATTTTCTCATTTCTTCTACCAGTAATGTTTGTGTTGTTGCAGGTCCAGGATTTGCTGGTATGCTGTAAATTTATGACCTATCTCTGATGATAATCTAGTCTCTTACCCATGGAGAGAAACTTTAAGAGTTGCCAACCCTTTGTATGTCCTCTTCATCTGGGCAGAGCCTATTCGATCTCGGCTACAGATTACAGAAAGCCCAAATCAAATGATTTTATGCCAGAAAGGAATTTATTAGCTCTTCTGAATCGAAGGATCAGAGCAGTAGAGCTCACTTCAGATAGAGATTGATGTTACAATGACACTCTTCTGACCCTGGCTCTGCTCTCTTCTGTGTGCTAGCTTTGTTCTTAGACAGCTCTTCTTTTGTGTTTCTATGATAAGTGAATCCAATCCAGATCTTCTCTTCTAAACTATAAGTCCACAGGAAAGAATGAGAGATGCTTTCCAGAATTTTCAGAAAGTTTTCGTTGTATCACTAGTTCTAAATGATTCTAATTAGGTCAGGGACTCACCTCTGATTTAATCACTGTGCATAACTAAGGCTCGGGTCATATGATTCACTAGTGAATAAAGAATGAAGTTGACTCTCCTGGAAACCCTCAGAAGAGAGCTGGTGATGGTGGGTGGCTCAGAGGAGAATTGAGACAGTTAGTAGAAGGTGGTTGAATAGACATCAGGCAGCCAAATCAACATGCTGTGTACTCTGGAAAACTGGAGCTAATTTGTGGTTATCTACATCATCTGGTCTTTGATGAACAACTCAAATGTACATTTAATTAGTTTGTAATTGTTTTCTTTTTCATCAGATCATATTTACATAATTAGAGTATCAGAATTTTAGTACTTATTCTGTACTTCATTTACTTTGGATGATTTTTCACCTTTAGTCAAAATGTTGTACTCATGGTATCACAATTAATTTAGTTACTGTAGAGGAGACTTTGATACCATGAGCTGAAGATTATAACTACAGGCGAAAAGTGAATTGTAGAAACAAAAAAGAAAGAGAAAGGAAGAGAAAAGACTCTGTCTTCATGAAAATGCCCCTCCCATGTACCCTTTGTAATGACTGGTATTTTAAAAGAAAATGTTTAACGTGGCTTGTGATTTATTGGTACCTTTGTAATGACTGATATTTTAAAAGTAAGTGTTAAATGTGGCTTGTGATTTATTGGTACCATTGTTTTTAAACACACACACACACACACACACGCACACACACACTTTTCTTCATTTTCCCCTAGTATATGTACTGGACATTATAATAATAATATTGTATAAATGATTAATTGCCATGAATTTCACTTGTATTACTATTATTTTGAATACAAGTTAATAAATATGAAGTCAGTCTATATGTGCACAATTGCCTGTATTAAATAGATTACAAGATAGGTGAAATCAGAAGTAAATTTGACAGGACATGTAGTTCATAAGAAATAACTATTGTATAATAGGTGGTATTCACAGGCAAGACATACAGACATATTGTAAAAGTCAATAATTCTGATGGAACAGGTAGGGAAAAATAATATAAATCAAAAGTGTTCTCATATTTGATGTCACTTGCATAGTTATACATTACAAGAATGATGGAGTATAATAGAATGAAACAAGAAAAAACACATCTGACAAACGAAGTTTTGCATAGGGCTCATTAGTGTCAAATAAATATTCGATATTCACTTCCTACACATGAATCTTAAAGGCTCTGGAGGCCTGACTCTCACAGAAGTGTAATTTTGAATTAACAGGATATATAGAGCTCAGCGAAAGTATTTTAGTTCTCAGTCCCTGGGGCCAGATGAGGAAAAGAGGGAGATATACAGAGATGTCTGCAAGTATTGTTTCTCTTCTCATTCTAACCCAAGGAAAAAAAAGTAAAAATTGCCACGCATCTTGCTATAATCTGAATGTTTATGTCCTTTCCTTGCCAAATGTATATGTTGAAATCTTCACCACCAAGGTGTTAGGAGGTAGGGCCCTCGGGAAGTGATTGGCTCATGGGGCACAGCCCTCATAAATGGGATTAGTGTATTTATCAAAGAGGCCCAAGAGAAACCACTTGTCTGACTTCTACCATATGAGTTTAGAATAAGATGATGGCTGCCTATGAGGAAGCAGGCCCTCAACAGATACTTAATCTGCTGGCACCGGATCTTGGACTTTACAGCCCTCAGAGCTATAACACATTTCCATGGTTCACAAGGCCCCAGTCTATGGTATTCTTTTATAGCAGTTGAACAAAGACACATTCTCTGTAAGCCAATATACTATGTGCATTTTACACATTTGCGAGTTTCTAATAAATGTTAGGTACAATTTCCAATGTGACTTAATGTTTGAGTCCACAGTACACTGTAATCTCCACTAAGATCTCAGAATGATTATCTCGAATAACTCTCATTAATAAAACATTAGGTTGACCAAAGACAAAGAAAGAAAGGAAGAGGTGGCTTTAACTCTTGGGAGAAGTCTTCTTTAAATAACAAGAACAACAGTATGGTGTTATCTATTACCCATAAATAGGGTAATCATTTCAACTTTACAGGTTTGCTTACAGCAAATACTAAATCTAAACTTTGGGGAGAATTCTTTATCTACCTGAAATTGTGTGAAAAAAATATTTATGTGTGTGTGTATTTGTATTATTTTATGTGAATACCATCATTACTCATATTGTTACACTATTGTCTAACAGTGTAATAAACTAGCATATCAAATCTTGTATATCTTTAGATTTGTGATATTTTAATGTATTTTATGTATATATGCAGTAATTCACCATGTAACCCTCTACTTCCAGCTCAGAAACAAAAATTCATCATTTTACTTAACTATAGTAGTTCCTCATTATCTGTGGTTTTGCTTTCCATGGTGTCAGTTACCCAGTCAACTGCAGTCCAAAAATGAAAAATGTCAGAAATAAACAATGCATAAGTTATAAATTCTATGTCATTCTGCATAGCATGTTAAAACCTTACACCATCCCACTTCAACCTCCCCAGGATGTGAATCATCCCTTTGTCCAGCAAATCTATGCTGTAGATTCTCTCTGACTCCATTAGTCACTTAGTAGTCCTCTTGTTCATCAGGTTGACTGTAACAGTATCACAGTGCTTATGTTAAAGTAACCCTTATTTTCCTCAGTAATAGCCCCCAAGTGGAAAAGTAGTAATGCTGGCATGTTGTTATAGTTGTTTTATTTCATTATGAGTTATTGCTGTTAATCTCCTATTGTGCCAAACGTATAAACTTTATCATAGGTATGTTTGTATAGGAAAAAAAACACACTATATACAGGGTTTGGTACTATCCATAGTTTCAGGAATTCACTGGGTGTCTTGGAATATATCTCCTGCTGATATGCAGGAGATACTGTATGCTTTCAAAAAATTTCCCAAATCTCTGACTTTCTGAGTGTCAGTTACAGAATTGGAGCAGAGGATTTCCAGGAAGCATTTTGCTTTACCTCAACACCCAAGATATTATTTTCACTATGCCTAAAATATCTTATCCTGTTAGAAGGAGAAGGAAAAAAAGAAAACTTTTCCATTTAATTGCTTGTTTGATTTGTATCAAACAAGCAATTTGATCTGCTTTAGTTTTGTTGCTGATGCCAAGCATAGTTAGAAGAGACGGAAGGTGACAGATAACAGAATAGTTGCTTCTGTGTGGCTTACACATGCAAAGCAAAGCATCGTTATTGATATCCTTTTTAAAGAGTTCACTGAGGTGCAGCTCACAGTTGTGGAATGGAAAACAGAAATCCCTTTGAAAATAAGAGATAGAATTCAAGGTCAGTCTCCCATAAGCCAGTAGTCCCTATACTCTTACCTTTTTTGGAAATGGTAAATCATTTATCTGGGTTTGTTCACTGGATGCTGATGGTATCACACCTTATCACTCTCTAAAGAAAAACTTGGCTAGCATAGTTAAAACAACAATTTATCTTCTCTTTTCCCATAAGCTCATTTGAACCCCAAAATATCTCACTGGGAAAAAACATTTACAAGTTGCAATGCTTTTAATAGAAATTAAAACTTTCTTATATCTGTCATTCAAAGTTAAGTTATACTGGGCATATTATATCTTAGATGAGCTCACTGTGCCTACTACATTATAAATTTTAGAAAATATTCACAGCATTCAGGACAAGAGGAGAATTATTGTATTGTTTCTACATGGGTGGCAACATGTTCTTCTTGGTCATCTTTTCTCTATGTCATACTGGATTTCTCTAGAGAGAAAACACTTATGATGAATTGCTGAGTCCATCATGTTACCATTGCACAAGATGCTTAAGCCAGAAGCGCTCAAATTTCAGCTCCACCCAAGTTTCTGATTCAGTAGTGTTGACAAAAAGAGTCAAACTTGGTAAAATATTTGAAGAGATTTTTTTGAGCCAAATATGAGTGACCAATGGTCTGTGACACAGCCCTCAAGAGACCTGGAGAACAGATGCCTAAGGCGGTCAGGCCACAACCTGTTTTTATACATTTTACAGAAACATAAGATATCAATCAGTATATGCAAGATGTACATTGGTTAAGTCTGAAAAGGCAGGACAACTGGAAAGGGAAGGGGCCTTCCAGGTCATAGACAGATTCAAAGATTTTCTGATTGGCAATTGGTTGAAAGAGTTATCAATAGAAGAAATTTTGGGTTACAATAAGGGGCCGTGGAGACCAATGTTTTCTCATGCAGATGAAGCCTTCAGGTAGCAGGCTTCAGAGAGAATAGATTGTAAATGTTTCTTATCAGACTTAAAGAGTCTGCCCTATCATGAATTTCAAAAGGGAAAAGGGTATATTTAGGCATGTCTGACTCCCGCTTCCCAACATGGCCTGAACTAGTTTTTCAGGCTAATGTTGGAAAGCCCTTGGTCAGAAGGAGGGGTCCATTGAGACGGTTGAGGGGGTTAGAATTTTTTTTTTTTTTTTTTGGTTTAAAGGCGGTTTGGTATGAGGGATGAGAAATTTTACTTTTAACAATGTTTTATGTGATGCTAATATTGCTGTTCTGGGAACCACACTACGAGAACCATTAACCTAATCTAAAGTTAATCTATTAGCCATAGAAAATTCATCATCATAATAATCTATTATTTCATATATAATATATTATCACAGATATCACAGATAATATATTAGAATTAGAAATTCATAAACCATAGATAAATTGATTAGTCATCAGCATTAGGGTCTTAAATTATTGCTTCATTAGAAGTATAAGGGAGATATAAAAACACCTGAAATGTAAATACGCAGAATAGAATAAAATAGATCAAAATCTCTATCATATCTGTAACACAATCATTTCAGTGAAAATGATACTTTGAGACTATTAAAACATAGGTGTGCTCCAAAAACGTAAGATTAAGTTTTCTTCCAGCAGGTACTTAAGATAGAAGCTGTGTTCAATTATGGAAAGATATATTACGTTTTCTTGCACACCTAAGGATTATGGCCAAAAAAAAATTATAAGTGTTTTATTCATTTATAGTGGCAAGCATTTACTAGTGCTTTCCTACTGACAGCTAACGCAGTGATTTTCAATTGCTGTGCCAAGTTTAATTGATGTGTAAATTTCATCTTTGCTTCATCAAATCTTGATACAGGTGTAAATTTTACATTTCTTACAACCGAATAGTCATATTGTCAGATAATTTTGAACGTTCCTATGACATTAGAAACCAAAGTACATTTTTTCAAAGAATAAATAATAAAGTGTAACTTTAAGTCAGAGACAAATAAATAAACAATAACAACAAAAAGAGCTCATGTTTACAGAAATACAGGAGGGCTTTGTTTCATTATTAGGCATGAAAGAGCCATGCGGCAAGAAACAGTTCTCCTCTAAAGTAAAACAACAAATAACAACAAAGAAAAGAGGATTTAAACATTCCTAAGGATGTTTAAATTAAGGGTAAGACAAAAGGAAGTGGTGAATATATCATCCACAGTTACAATTTAATGTTCTGCATCTTTCAATCCCTTCAAGCATGCCTCCCCACAGAAGCTAGTGTTATTTAAAAGTGCCCTAAGAGTACAGAGAGGATGAAAACTATAGATTTCGAATTGAATTGCATGATTTATTTAAACCAAAAAAAACAAGAAGGATAAGGCAGCCATCTCTTCATGTTAATGTGTATTGCTTATGAAAACTAAAGGTATTTAGACTTTACTTCCAAAGAATTGAATCTATTAATTTGGAAGTAACCTCAGGAATCTATATTTATAAAGGATTACAGTAAGGACCAATTTGAAAAACTCCAGAAGAGAGGGTAACCCTTAGTACGTTCTTTTCTATCTCGTCTTTTTTACTCTACTGCAATAACTTTACCATGCAGGATTACCCATACGGACTCACTGCAAATCATTAGCCTTATATTTAGCTATATTATTGAAAAGAAATGTAACACTCCGTAAGATACTCCCTTTGTACATTCCGGCAAAGGAAGTGAGTATACATCAACTTCTTATGAAATAGTCTCCTTAAAAATAAGAAATTTAAAGACTTAAATAGATCCCGGTGAAGTGGCTCACACCTGTAATCCCAGCACTTTGGGAGGCCAAGTTGGGCAGATCACCTGAGGTCAGGAGTTTGAGACCAGTCTAGCCAACATGGAGAAATTCCATCTCTACTAAAAGTACAAAAATTAGCCAGACTTGGTGGTGCATGCCTGAAATCCCAGCTATGTGGGAGGCTGTGACAGGAGAATCATTTGAACCCAGGAGGTGGAAGTTGCCGTGAGTGGAGATCCTGCCACAGTACTCCAGCCTGGGATGACTGAGCCAGACTCTGTCTCAAACAAAAAAGACTTAAATAGTTAAAAATGGATCTTTCTTTGCAAAATGCAAAGGTTTGCATAAAAATTTTATAGTTTTAAGACTAAAAATCACATGGTCCATGAAACTCCTTTGTCCTGGGGAAACCATGGCAGTTGGTAACCCTACCAGTAGTTCTGTGATTTTCATGTTTTATTCCCAGCTACCTATGAAAACAAACGTGCCAACAAACAAAAAAACATCAATTTACAGTTTTTTCTTCTTTTTCAATTGCACTCTTGTTCTTATTCTGCTGATGCCCTTCACATATTTTCAGAAAAAAAAAAAAAAAGAAAAAAGAAAAAAGAAACATCAAATAACCATCCAATCCATCAGTGACTTGAGGGCAAACTTAGCATTGTATTTATCTATTCATCCCCAGTGTCTAGCCCAGTGTCTGACACTGTGAGAGGTATTCAGTAAGGAAAGAGGTGGGAGGACATTAAAATACTGCTTTCCATATGTATCAAATAAGTTATTTCCTTCTGTGAATATGCTCTGAGGTGGTTCTCCTCACCCCTACCTACCCACAAATATGTTTTCATCAATCTTAAACTATGTTTCAGTTATATGCTCCCCCTTGCAAATTAGGTTTGCTCTTCCAAATGCATTTCATAAAACAGAAGCTGTCAAATTTATCTGTCGGAAGAATTGTTGAAGTGCTAGAGAGGAGGTCCGTTATCTGTTGTGAAGTTTGCTTTAGGGAAATAAAGAAATGCAGATATTTGTATAACCAAAGACTAGGACATTATTCCCAGCCCTTTTGATGTCTAGCAACAAGGATGCCAGTAAAGTCAGATTAAGTTCAAGCACATTTCTCCTGATTTCTAGTGACATAGGCCAGCCATTCCAATGGTGGAAAATTTTCTTTCCATGAGGGTGAAAACTATAATAACAAATACCATGTTCAGACACCAAAGTGAACACCCTCCCTCAAGCATTCTGGAGATTTTTCAATCAAGAGGCTTAAGGAAGAAACTCTGCCCCTTGTTTGAAACACGTATCACAGAAACATGAACAATAATTAGGAGTTCAATAATCAGTAAATTCATTATCATCACTCCTTACCAATTCAAGTTATGAAGACCCCCAAATATCCAGGGTTGTGTATATGTGTGTTTGTGTGAGCATGTGTGTACATATATACCTGGGCTGGTGTGTTTTGGGCTATTAGAGAGTATAACAGAACTTTGAAGGAGTTACAGATTTCAGTCCTATACAAAGAACAAGTGACTTGGCAGCTGGCATTTCACACTGGTGTAGTTGATTTGAAAATTCTACATGTAAATGATTCTTCTCCCCAATTCTTAATCTTTGCCCTTTTACTAACCACACAAACTCCCTTACACATTTCAGTCACCCATTAATGATGACCAGATGTCTCTAAAAAGCATTCTCTGAACAGCAGCCTTTCAACACAGTCTTTGAATATTTCATCACTCCTGACTTCTCCACTCATATTTTCTCCTTATTTCTGCATGCAACATCCAATTCAAGGCCTTTTATCTCCCTCCTACCCACATCTCATCATTTTGAAGCCTTTTCTTCAGCACCCTAGCTCCTCTCACTTTAACAAACAGATTGATGAAAGACAAGAACATGTGGCTTCTACAAAGTTTTTTCACTTAGGCAGTATAGGATGACACAGTCCAGTCAAATTCTTCCAAAGCTCAATAGGCACTGAGAATATTTTTTATTTGCTCCATCTCATATCCCATCTCTATACCAACAGCTGGCTTTGACAGTATGTTCCATTTTGATGTCAATATCATATAATAGGGCAAAGCTTTAACATGAGTGATTCAATTGGGATGAGGAGGAAACACATTGGTAATAAAATGCTGGGTGCATTTACTTGATTCCAGCTGACACAATTATTTTAATGGTACTACTTCGTACCATTAAAAAGCTTTCTATTTGTTTTGGATTTGGGGGCAGGAGGAAGATTTTGTTTGTTTGTTTTGCTTTGCTTTTTGCCTTAACACTTCTCATCCAAAAGGCCACCAGGATGGCTAAATAGTAGAAACGAGAGCTCTGTTGGCAATATCAGTTTGCAAATTAGAAAAGAGAAAGTCTCCCATGACGACAAAGGTGCCCTCCCTTCCAAGGAAGGCCAGTTTGGGTTTTATGCCTCATAGAGCTGGTATCATACATATTAAGCAGGTTTGGGGGGAAATCCATACATATTTATGAGGGGAGCTGAGTGCATGGGGATTGGGTGAACATGTATGTAACAGACATTCCATGTTCACTTTGGGGCAGGGTTTTAGCATTAAAATGAGGTGAATTTTTTCTTATATGAAAAGGTGAACTGTAGGACACAAAGATGGTTTGTGGGCAGCCTCTGTAAGCTGGCTGACACTAGTTTAAGGTCTGCAATCGCTCACTAGAAAAGAATGTTTGCAACGCCAGTTCTCCGTCCAATCACAGTAATCGTCTGGAATGTACATCAGCATTGATAGCTCCTATTGTTAGGGAGTTTAGCCATAAGAATTTAGAAATGTGCCATGCCAGCCAGACCCTGAACCCTTGACCTGTAGGTCACTTGGTTTCCTTAACCTTTGAGTTCATCTTAGTTGATAAAGGGGTGTCTATTTTGGTCTCTCAGATCACACACTCACTAATAAGTTTTGTAATTTCCTTGGAGACCAGCGCAACCCATCTGAATTGCTTCATGGAATATCGTTAAAGTGTATCTTGCAAAATACGCCATTTGACTTTTAGGCACTTCCAAGGCCAATAACAGTTTTGGTAAAATAATAATAATAATAATAAAGTTTATATACACTCCGCAAAAGACACTGTAATAGCACATACTAGATATTTAGGGATAAGTCAATGATTTTTTATTGTTGGCAATATAAAATCACCACAGAGAAGGAAACATAATTAGTTACAACACATTTTATATAGACTATAGACTTGTGTGAGTCATCAATTTTTATAGATTTATGCATGAAAGTTTTATGGTTTCATGAAGTCTGTTTTAAGAAAACAGAAAATGGTAGGTCATGTGAGGAAATGACTGCCATGGACACAAGGAGACATAGAATTTGGGGGTCTGTTGTCCACTCGTCACCATTCACCCTTTGAGCCAGCTCACAATAAAGTTTACACACTCTTCGATTGAGACAGTAAGACACTCAAAAGATCCTTTAGGAAGCAGCGATTATTTTGTTAACTTAG
Organism: Homo sapiens; assembly: GCF_000001405.40. Taxonomy (NCBI): domain Eukaryota; kingdom Metazoa; phylum Chordata; class Mammalia; order Primates; family Hominidae; genus Homo; species Homo sapiens. The sequence continues at coordinate 163,887,778 of NC_000005.10, read as the reverse complement.
TGCTACATTAAACTAAGTTTATTCATCTTGGCAAAAAAATATGGTGATCTCCCTGGGTATATTTTTGTCATCCAAGGAGCAAACTGTGGTCTATGAAGAAAAACTGACCTGGAAAAGGAGGGCAACATATCCCTGCAACAGGTGTCTGCAGAGGAAATGCTAGAAGAACAAAAGGCAGAACAGGGGACCTAGTTGGAGGCAGAAGAGATGGAAGTTCAGGATCTCAAGCATTGAGAAGTCTCTCTTGCCCAAGCAGATGTTCTCGGTGATCATTAAGACTTGTTTTATTTTGCAGAAATGATGCTGCTTTGAAGAGCGAGGGCTTTTATTGAAATTCGAGTGACGTCTCTGTCACCATCTTGTTAGACTGGAGACTGTCAAGTTTTGAAATGCTTTTTTAATTTATTTATTCTCTTTCAAGCATAAACAATGGCAGAATTATGAAGGTTGGAAAGGGTGGAGATTGAAAGGCTTAGAGAGTAAGGTTATGGATTTGGGGGAGGGTTTTTGCCTTTTAAAAAAAACAACGAAGTCACTTAAGAAAGCAGTGGACCATCTCACTATCAAATTCACAGCTTCTTTGTCACATTGTTTTCCTTGCCTCAAATTAGATTTATAGAAGAATTCTTCATTTAGTTTTAAATAATATTTAGATTTCAAAAGTGAGATGATATTCCTGAACGGGAGTCTACTCTTGTGGATGGGTAAAACTAACATAGCATTCAATCCTTGATTGTTACATCGTTACATTGTCTGTCTCTATTTTGAGTTGCTAATGATATGTTAAGGGAATATTTACCTTGTACATACTTTGGAAGTTCATTTTTCCTCCATTGCTCCATAAGCAAGAAGAATTTTTGGTTAAGTTTCAGTAACTTATCCGTACCACAGCCAATATTCAGAGACAAGATTACGTACATTCACCACAGTTGTCCTAGCATGAACTTCTGGCAGATATAATATTTTCCCATTTCAGCTGTTTGATCATATCTAACATTAATTTCATTGGGTGTTCTGGGTCATTTTAGAGATGAAGAAATGAAGGAAGACAAATATTAGGAGTTTTTTTAGACTGCAAAATTCATTATAGGACAACTATTTGTTTATGTATATACAGGCATGGCCTATTCAAAGTCATATGAAACATGTGTGAATAAAACGTATTATAGGCCAGGCACGGTGGCTCACATCTGTAATCCCAGCACTTTGGGAGGCCGAGGCAGGTGGATCGTGAGGTCAAGAGATAGAGACCATCCTGGCCAACATGGTGAAACCCCATCTCTACTCAAAATACAAAAATTAGCTGGGGGTGGTGGTGCAGGCCTGTAGTCCCAGCTACTCAGGAGGCTGAGGCAGGAGAATCGCTTGAACATAGGAGGCGGAGGTTGCAGTGAGCTGAGATCACCCCACTGCACTCCAGCCTGGAGACAGAGCGAGACTCTGTCTCAAAAAAAGGAAAAAAACAAGGTATTATAGAAATATTTTATATTACAAAAACAATGTTACATATTATAATTTTTAAATCGCCTTTTTGTAGAATTTTTAAAAGGCATTTATTTTATAATTCTCCTGTAATCTCTCTTTTATTAGGGAAAATTAAACAAGAAGTCATGGGCTGTGATCTGGAGTTGAGCAGACCAAAGATTTACATGTAAATCAACTGAAGAACAATAAAATCAAGTTCAAGTTTCTGTGTTAAAGAGTACAGAAGTATGTACAATCCTATTTCATAATGACCCTCCACCTTGTCAAAGACATCATAGAAAATGATTTGGCTTGCCAGTCCAAGTAAGAGATACAGTACAGGCAAAGTACCCACAGGAGAGGGTACAAGCACGGTGTGCACATTTTAATGTATCATCTACAGAGGAGCAGAAGGCCTGGGGGAAGGAGCAGGAAGAAAGAAAGTTCAGAAGGAAAGAGACATGATGACTATGTCTACACGTCAAACTAAAAATTAAGATAAAACCTTTTTATAAATTTCTACTCAACTTAGAAGCATGGGTATCAGTTTGTAATTTTGTTTGTAGATTTTATATTTTTGCATAGAATTTACCATCTTCAATTGTGACTCTTTTCAATGTCTTCATTTAACTGAATCTACCCTGGGTATCCCCCAAGCAAAAAGTATGGCATATGCTTTTTACTTTGCTCTAATTGTTTCAGTGACAGGTAAAATGATGCTCTAATTTCTAAGAAATTGAAAGAGTGAAGTTGTCCACTCTTGCTCTGATTCCGTAGTCAAAAGCAGCTGGAGTTTAACAAGGTCCAGACAGTTCAGACCCAATCAAGGCAGATTATTTTCCTTTTCCACTTCTGACTGTGAAAGACCTTGTGTCAGGTTATCATTTCCAGAAAACATCTATGCCAGCAAAACCTGCAGATACAGACTTTTTCCCCTTTCTGAATTGTTAGTTGGTCTCCTAGCACATTTGGAATGTAACCTTTTTAATCCCTGCATTTGCAATTAGAGATTAAAATTCCATTCCAAGAGCCATTCGGCAGATGGCATAGCATGAAGAAACTGGAGGTATTTTAAAATTGTATTTATACAGAACACCAGCTGAATTTCCCAGTCTGTTTCTTCCTGAGCTTATACATTCTCTTGCGAAAATTGATTGTTTAAGATGTAGATTTCATTTGCTGGGATTTAGCATTTTCATAGGATTTTAAAGCATCAATTAATCCATCTCTTTTGTTCAGCACAGTTGATTTAAATATAGAAGTAAAATCTGTATTTAAAGAAACTGCTTAAGAAGATTAAGTCACCTCTGCAAGGGTCACCAAGGTAGGGTCAGAAAGGCCATATGATAATGGAACAGGGAGGCCACTGAACCAACGCATCCATTAAATGGAAACCTCATCATATCTTATGCAATTTAGAAAGTTTGATTCTTAATTAAGCTTTTTCCTTTAGCTTTCTCCAAAAGACTTTTAAAATTCTTACAGCTTTTAGATTTTTATTGATATATAATAAATACAAAAAGCACATAAATCGTACATGTATAGTTTGAGGAATGTTTGTAAAATGACCACATAACCCCCTCCCAGACTGAAAAATAAAAAAGTTGCTGTCACCCCAGAAGCTCCCTTATGCTGCTTCCCATTTCCTCCCGCAAGTGAACCACTATTCCAAATCTAGCACCGAAGATTACTATACATCTTACTTGAATGTATGTAAGTAGACTCATATAGTATTTACTCTTTTGTGACTGCTTTATTCACACAACATTATGTTTGATATCATCTATACTGCTGCATGTAGGGGTATTTTATTCATTGTCATTGTGATACATAAGTACATTTGATAAGTATGTCACAAGTTATTTCACTGTTGATGAACACTTGGGATCTTTGTCATTTGGGACTGGGTCCTCAGCCCCTGGGCCATGGACTGGTACCTGGACACACAGCAGGTGAGTGACAGGCAAGTGAGCATTACCACCTGTGCTCTGCCTCCTGTAGTGGCAACAGACTCTCATAGGCATGCAAACCTTATTGTGAACTGGGCATGAGAGGGATCTAGGTTGTGCGCTCCTTATGAGAATCTAACTAACGCATGATGATCTGAGGTGGAACAGTTTCATCCCGAAACCATCCTCCCAGCCCCCACTTCCCACCTCACCCCATCCATGGAAAAATTGTCTTCCATAAAACTGGTCCCTGGTGCCAAAAAGGTTGTAGACCACTGGTTTAGGAGATTACCAAGGGTGCTTTTATGATCATTTTTACATATGTCTTGGTAAACATGCATATGCATTTCTCATAGGATTAGACCAAGTTGTGGAATTGCTAGATGAGTTTTCCAAAATGGTTATACCAAGTTACATACCTTCCACCAATATATGAGGGTTCGAACTGCTTCTCACTCTCTGCAGCACTGGGCAGTTTTAGCAATCTAGTGGGTATAAAGTGGTTTTGTGTTGTAATTATAATTTCCTACTTCCCTGGTGACTAATAAAGTTAAATGCACTTTCATATTTATTGGCCACTGGTGACATAGCCATTGAAGTCATTTGGCCATTATTAAATTTATTCATCTTCTTGGTTTTTTTTTTTTTTAATTTAAAGAGCTCTCTTTACATAGCAGATGTAAGTCTTCTGTGAGATATTCATATCGCAAATTATTTATAGCCTGTGGTTTGCTTTTTCACTCTCTTGAGTCCTTAAGCAGCTCTTAATAATTTTACAGAAATTCAGTTCATCAATAATTCCTTATTTTTCTGCATGGTTAGTGTGTTCTATGTTTTCTTTACGAATTTTTTTCTTCTCTGAAGTTCAAAAAGTGAACTATGCTATTTTCTAAAATCTTTATTATTTTGCCTTTCAAACGGGGTCCACCATCCAAATTTATTTTTATATGGTGCCAATGAGGAATCAGAATTACTATTTTCCAGTTAGACTTCCTATTGATCCAGCACTGCTTATTGAAAAGAACACTCATCCTCAGTGCACTGCAGTGACATCTTTTTAATAACTCAATTGATCCTTTATGCATGGATCTATTACTAGACTCTATTCTATTTGTCTATCCTTGTGTCAATAACACATGCCTTAATTACTGTAGTTTCACAAGTCTTAATATCTGATGGAATAAGCCCTCGAATTTTGTTCTTTGTATTCGATAACTCTTTGGCTATTTTAGTCTTTTGCATTTCCACATATACCTAAGAATCACTTATCAATTTCCACAAGAAAATATAACTTATGGATATTTTCACTGAAATTGCATTGCACTCCTAAATTATTTTGATAGAAATTGACATTTTTGCAATACTGTCTTTTATTCCATCAATATGGTATAACCCTCCATTTATTGAAGTCTTTAATTTCTCACAACATTTTGTTTTCTGTGTAACACACATCATTTGTTGTTTCTCTAGTTTTGCTATTAAATTGGATAATAAAATCATTGCCTTTTTAGGTCTTTTTCTTTTTTAATATACACATTTTAAGGCAGTACATTTCCCTGTAATTATGACTGTAGCCACACCCCACATGTTTGAGTAAATGGTATTTTTATGATTTAGTTTAAATGTTTTCCAAATTTTGCTTTTATTTCTTCTTTGACCCATGAATTATTTAGAAGTGTAAGCTATATTATCAAAGATAGCTTTTTGTTATTGATCTCCCACTAATTTCACTCTGGAGGAGAGCACACTGTGTATGACTCCAATGTTTGGAACTTAAAGATTTGCTTTAGGATCCAACATATGGTCTATTTTATGTGCATTTGAAATACAGATGTTGACACAGTGTTCTACATGTGTCAATTAGGTCATGTGAGTTGCTAAAGTTTTCTATGTGTCTGCTAATTTTTTGTCTATTATATCAGGTAAGAAAGGTTCATTAAAATCTTCAAATACAACTTATAAAGTTAACTATTTTTTAATATTAGGTTCATTAGGTTTGCTTTATTTACTTATGTTATTTTATATAAATAGAATTGTTACATTTTCATAGTAAATTTATCCATTTATCATTATGAAATGCCTGTGCACAGCCAGCCATATTCTTTTTCTCATGATCTACTTTCCTGATGTTCGTATAAATATGCAAGTATTGTCAGATATAGTATTTACCTCTTCTGTCTGATTTTTAATCCTTTCAGTATTTCTCTGTTATTATTTTTATGCTATATCCCTTATAAAAAGTATATATTCAGGTTTTTTTTTTTACATCTAGACTAAGAATACTTGTTTTACTTGGGTTTTTTAGTTCATTTACATTTAATGTGACTATTAATATATTTCGGTTTATCTACTACCTTGTTTTTTGTTTTCTAAAGGTCCCATCTGTTTTTTTATTCATTTTGCCTCCTCTCTTGCCTTTTGAAGTAACCAACAATATTTAGTTTTATTTTCACTCATGATTTCCTTGTTAGTTATACCTTATTTTATTATTTGTAAATGTTACCCTAAAGATTATACTACCATAGTTGACTCTTAAGTTCTGCTATAAATGAGTACTTTTGCAATTACCAGGACAATGCAAGGGTTTTAGAACACTGTAAATATATTAACTCCTCTCCAAAATTTTGTATAATTCTAATTTATTTTAATTCATTATATTTATTATTTTTAAGTGAATATACATTTAGGTTTACCCACATATTTACTTTCATTGTTCTTCATTACTTTCTAAATTTTATATTTTTATTAGGAATTATTTTCCTTCTGCCTGAAGAACACCCCTAAATTTTTCTTCTACTGTGAATCTCCCGACAATGAGTTCCTTTTTCAGTCCTGATATTGTTATTTTCTTCACATTGAGTTTTTGAGGTTGTATATTATTTCTTGCCATCAATTTAGAGACAAATGTTAATGTCTTCTGGCTTACTTCATTTGTGCTGACTATCCATTCATCACTCTTGTTGTTATACTTCTGAAAGTAATGTGTATATTTTTCTTAGCTATTTTGTAAATATTCTCTTTATCTTTGGTTAGACAGACCATTATGAACATAGATCCCCAGTTAGGGACTCTGGGAAACGTGGGAAGCTTTGCTAAAATGTATTGCGTCTGGTCTTGCTGTCTCTCAGCATCCACCTGACTAATTAACTCACTATCACAATCTAACCTACAGAGTATGCTTGTGTAAGTCCGAGTCTCCTCCCAGATTCTGTAACCTCATAGGCTGTTGTGCACACATAACCATATAATGCATTTAAAGTGCTTAGCAGGGTATCTGTTACAGAATAAAGCCCTAAGTAAACTCTTGTTAGGACTATGATGAAGGTGATAGTGTTGATTATGAAATGAGCAGATACACAGATGCTGACAGCATTCTATTTTGGTGGATTATCAATAAGACAGCAGCAGGGGGATGCTTCCTTTACTCTTCTAAAATGTACCACTGGCTTGAAAGAATAGGGATTTTAATCTGTCATGGAGCATCTTACTTCTCCTCATTTTGTGAGATTTTAAAGTAAGGTCATTAAAGACAACATGGTGGTCCAAGATTACATCAAGAAACACTTTTTTTCCTTTATCTTTAAAATATAAATGGAAGGATAGTGATAAATATTAAATTGGAGCCCCTGAACATCTGACATTCCAAATGCAGTCATTTTTTGTGATTCAGAGGAATTCTGTGTTGCCAATGTTTTTAAATACAGTAGTTCACTCACTTAATAGATAACCCCGCAAGATCATCTGCAAGACTTAGATTCAAGATCTAAAAGCCCTTCAGAGTGAAAGTAACATAAAGGAATGAATTACTGCAGGCTTCTGCCTGTGTCTCCTCTTACATGAAAGCCCTGCCACTACTAGCATTATGGCCTCAGGCCAATTACTTAACCTAACTCTTATTACCCTGACTTGTGAAATGGAGAAAATAGAAAATGCTTCAAATGTTTGTGGGAATTATTACCATCAGTTCACCATTACAAGCATTATAAAAATGTCTTAATCAAAAAGAGAGGAAGAAAAGGAAGCCTAGATTATTCAGAAGACACGACATCATACCCATCTTCCTTTCCAGCTTTATCTAAATACATCAAAATATTCATTGTTCCTTAATTACACTCTCATTCATTCATTCCCAACCATTTGTAAAGTATCTACTATTTTCCAGACATTGAAATACAACCTTACACCTTGGACCCTTCCTTTACAAGTTTATGATCTGGTAAAAGATCATTATTATTCCATTATTTACACTGCCCCCCTTAATCTGAACATAATTACTTACTGCCAACTCCACTCAGAAAATATATTTTACTACCTCCAAGCAGCCCAGATTGATCTGCTCTCCTCTTCAAGGTTTTATTTTTACCTTGAATATAGCACTTAAAACACTGGGTCATATGGAACAGTTAGTCATATATATGGTAAGTTCCATTATGGAAAGGATGGTATTTTTAAATTTAGCATCTTATTTCTGTCTCCAAGAGCACTTGTAGCTGCATCTATAAGCAGACACTACATGTACATAAACACACACGGACAAAATAATAATACCTATTTTCCTGTGGAATTACATATTTTTTAAAACATGTTCTCACATAACTTTTCTTTTAACCTCACAGTAATTTTTAAAATGTATTAATGTGAAAGAAAAAAAGATTACTTAAATGAGTTGCCAAAAGTCATCAAAAGATAAAGCTGGGAAACATACCAAAAAAAAAAAAAAAAAAAGACTTTTACCTGCTGGTTCAATGATTTTTCTGCCACAATCTTATTGCCTTCTAAGAGCCATCCTACAATTTGTCACTTTCACACAGACTTTGAAGGAAAATTTAGGCAGAAGATTGGAATTTAGAAATGAGAAAGATCAGGAGAGTGAAAGATTTACTACCTCCTTGAAAAGGATGAAAAAGCTATTCTTAACAAAGCACAAGGCTACCTTCTAAATGCAATTCTAGTCAATAAGTTCTGACACTATTTACCCACTAAAATATACCCTAAGTCAAAACATGTTTACCTGTATGAACTGCCAATGTGTTCAACTTCATATTCATATCAGTAAGGTTCAAGGCTATGTTCATCACTCAATAAACCCTATGATATTGGTTATTATGCTAATAAAATACATGATTGATTTCTCCAAATATGTATATAAATCAATACATATATATGAGTTATGCATATGTATATATATACATACACACACACATATATATATAATTACTTGTCATTGTAAAGATGTAGCACTAGACAAGCTCCCAGTTCAGACAGCTCTCTCATTAAATATTCTACAATCCCAATTGGAGAAAGGAGGCAGCTGGACAGAATCCAGTGATCTGAGGCTGGAATTCATGAACTATCTTCTTTTGATCCATTAGATTCTTCAATCATTTAATCTTTTCTTTTTTTGAAAAATTAGACCTGACTTAAAGTTATTTTTCAACATGCATGGTTTTCTGGCTAATAGTGGTACTAGAAATGAGGTATGCTTAAAAAGGCATTTGGATCCGTCAAGGGGGATATAACTGTCTAAAACAAACTAGGTCAAAGTGGTCATGTTTCCTACATTGCCAGTGACTAACAGACATGAGCCTTTGCTGAATCTCTTTTACCTGACCAGTTCTCCCACAGTCATTTGAACAAGATTATCCAGGGAATCAAGAATTTTCCAAAGATGCTGATGTCATCACTTTTTCCTATGCCTTGGGGTGACAGAAGGAATAATATTTTGATATCTGTATTGTCTTCCCCCCAAAAATGGCTTTGTAGCTGAGGAATAAAAAGGGACAAACAAAGACATGGATTTGATTTTATTTTTTAGCAAGCAAGTAACTTGGTGTCATAGGTTACTTTGCATAGTGCCTCTTGGTACCAAGGGAACATATAGAAATCATTCCCATTAGTAAAGCACCTGAAGTGGGGATTGAGAAAAGTCAGATACAAAGGAGTTTTTGTTTGTGCTACCATAAAGTCATCAACTATAAAAACTTAAAAACACTCCTCTCTTCCCTTACATACTTAAAATAGCAAAAATGTTTTCTTAGAACAATTTAAATCAAGAAGATGTCTCTATCTTTTGAAAATTTGGGAGGGTCTAATTGTAGTCTATGTACACTAAATGTTTCTCTTTATTTTACCTTCTACCAATTCACATATACACCTTTTAAAAGGATTTTAGTCTTCAGGTGTTTTCTTCAAACTCTCCCAACCTTTAATTCTCAACTCACATGACGGGGCTACAAGCAAGTGCAGAACCTGATTTACTGCTGTGGGGATAAGGCTCTCTGTAATAATATACCAGCCCTGTTGACCAACTGGCAGCCCTCTGGTTTGCATACTCTTGCCATTACTTCCAGGCCATTAAGCTCATCTTGAGTAGGTATTTTACTGTCATTAATAAAAGAGGTGTAATGACATTCAGTGATTTCATGACTACAGCAATAAATGGGTGGGGGGTGATGACAAAAAGGAGACTTATAGGCATTGGATTTTAACTAAATTGTGTGAGAAAAAGAAATGTTAAGAAAGCCAGAATTTTAAAGCACTGATTATCAATATATTTGTTTCATTCAACAAAAATAGATCGAGGGCCTACAATGAGTCAGATACTGTTTTGGGTGCTAAAGGATAGAGCTTTCAACATGACAGCCAAGGCCCCTAAATTCACAGAATTTATTTTTCAGTGGGGCAAAAAAACAAAGGGGGCAGATATACCAGAAACTATTAGTTAGTTGTTAAGTGCTACGAAGAAAATAAAACTAGAGAAAAGATGGAAAATGGCCAGACACCTAATATAGCACTTCCTGAGGTGTCCCATTTAAACTTATACCTAAGTAATAAAAAGCATCCCGTCCTTCCAAAATCAAGTAAAAATTGGGACAGCTGAGGCAAACACTGTGAGAATTTAAAAGAGGAAAAAACTTCACATGTTTTAGGAAGAATGACAACAAAAAAGGTCAATGGAGCCAGACAATATTGACCTAGAGAAAAGGGTTGGCAAAGTCCACAGGGTCTAGATCATGAAAGGCCTGACAAAAGCCCAAATAATTGTACTAAGTATTTATTAAAAACATATTCTGTGTCAGGCACTGCTCTAAATCCTGGGGATTAGAACAGTGGGAGGAAAACAAAAAAGCAGATTTTTCTGACTTCAGGGAGCTCGCTTTCTAGTTGTTAGATATAAACAAATTTTTAAGAATATATGGGCTGTAATAAAAAGGTGATGTAAGGGAAACAATTGGTGCGTAGTCGGGGGAGGCATATGATATTATGTAGAACAGTGTGGTAAATGAAGGATGATGGCAAACTCTTCGACACTCCTTACATTGACAGGTTGAATCTGATTCCCTTCCCCTTGAATCTGGCTGCTCCTAGTGAGTTTTAAGTTGACCGATAGGATGCAGTGAAAGTGATGTTCTGAGACTTCTGAAGCTAGAACATAAGAATTCTTGCAACTTCTGCTAAAGGAAGTTCTCCTGGAATACTCTCCCCGGGACCCCTGAGAGCACCAAGCTGGAGGTGTCACGTGTAGACAGACACATTGGTTGTGATAGGCAGCATCTAAAATGGCTCCCAATGACCCGCCCTCTCTGATATTCATATACTGTGTAGCCTCTTCTGCTTGAGTATGGGCTGGACCTAGTGATTTTATTCTAATGCAGAGAATACCACCTATGTATTGGAATATCACTTCCAAGCATACGTTACAAAAAAACTGTATTTTCTGTCTTGCTTGGCCTCTCTCTGTCCCCCTCTCTCTCTTTCTCTTTCCTTCTCCCTAAGATCCCTCACTCTGGGGAATGCAAGATGCCATGTTGTTGGTAAACCCATCAAGAGGCCCACGTGACAAGAAACTAATGTCTCCAGCCAACAACCACCAAGGACATAAGACCTGCTGACGGCAACATGAGTAAGTTTGGAAGTTGGTCCTTTCTAAGCCAAGACTTGAGATGACTGCAACCTCAGCAAACACCTTGATTGCAGCCTTGTGAGAGCTGCTGAGCCAGAGGATCTAGCTGAGAGACCTGGATTCTTGACCAACAGAAACTGTGAGATAATAATTTTTGTCATACTAAGCTACTCATTTGGGGGAGTAGTTTGCAACAGACAATAAATACACTGTAAGACAATCAAAGCTGAGGCCAGCCTTCCGTTCATCCCTGCTATGGTGCCAGGCATGGGAGTGGTGCTTCCCTTGGAGCTCATCCACCACTGAATAACACTAAGTACCTGCTGCCCGATGCTTTGCAATAGAAGATTCACCTAGGTAGGTCAAGGTGGCTCATGCCTGTAATCCCAGCACTTTGGGAGGACAAGATGGGCAGATCACCTGAGGTCAGGAATTTGAGACCAGCCTGGCCAACATGGTGAAATACAAAAAAAAAAAAAAATACAAAAATTAGCCAGGCATGGTGGCATGTGCTTGTAATCCCAGCTACTCGGGAGGCTGAGACAGGAGAGTCACTAAAACCCCTGAGGTGGAGGCTGCAGTGAGCAGAGATCACGCCACTGCACTCCAGCCTGGGTGACACAGCAAGACTCCATCTCAAAAAAAAAAAATTCACCTAGCAAAGCCCTAACCCAAATTGTGATCTAAAATAAAAATGGTTGTTATTTTAAGCTACTGTGTTTGGGAAAAGTTTCATATGTAGAAATAGATAAGTGGAACAGGTGGTTAGAAGTACTTCTTTGACAAGGTGACATCTGAGCAAACATCTGAAATAAATAAGGGAGTGAGCCATGCCAATATCAGGCAAAGGGGACAGTAAGTAAAGTACCCAGGTGAAAACATGCTAGGCATGTTCAAGGAACATCAAGTGGTCCTGTAGCTGAAATGGCCTAAGTAAAGAATGGATTGTCAGCCAGACATGGTTGCTCATGCCTGTAATCCTGTAATCCTAGGATTTTGGCAGGCTGAGGCAGGAGGACTGCTTGAGGACACCAGCCTGGACAACATAGGGAGACCTGGTCTCTGCAAAAAAATTAAAAAATTAGCCTGGCATGATGGTGTATGCCTGTAGTCCCAGCTACTCAGAAGGCTGATGCAGGAGGATTTCATGAGCTCAGGAGTTCAAAGCTGCAGTGAGATATGATCATGCCACTGCACTTCAGCCTGGGTGACAGAGCAAGACCCTGTCTCAAAAAAATAAAAATAAAATAAAAATAATAGAGTGCTGAAACCCTGTCTCTACTGAAAATACAAAAAAAAAGATTATCTGGGCAGTAGTGACTCATGCCTGTAATCCCAGCAACTCAAGAGGCTGAGGGAGGAGAATCGCTTGAGCCTGAGAGGCGGAGGTTGTGGTGAGCCAAGATCATGCCACTGCACTCCAGTCTGGGTAACAGAGTGAGATCCTGCCTCAACCAATCAATCAATCAATCAATAAAAGAATGTATAGCTCAGATGATAGCTGATGATGAAGTCCATTTGCAAGGACTGGTATTTACATTGCGTGAGTTGCAGAATGTTAAGCAGTGGCTCAAAATTTTGAGTAGAATATTCTGTCATAAAATTTTGTCTCTTAGTCCCACTCCCTTCACCTATAATTGCTATATCCAAATGGTGAGAGCCACAAGACTACAGTGGACACCCTCATAGCATCCAACAGTCACCACCAACAACCCATCTGTTGCAAACTCCCCCTAAGAGAATGTCCCAGGGACTCTGGAGTCTGTGTGTAGCCTGTGCCTTCACCTTTTCCCATTCCTCTTCTTTGCCTGGCCATATTTGCAGTTCAGCAGTGGTGCTTTCATTTTTGGAGTGTTTACATTAACTTGAAGTTGTTAACCTAGTTGTGTTGCAGAATGTTTCAGACAGTGCCAGAGGCTATAAATAAATAACAGTTATTTCAGGTCTGCCTGGCAAACAAGTGCCTGGATTCTGCAGAGACCCCAGGGACTATGGCTGCTACAGTGCTGAAAACCTCAAAAAAGGCTAAAAGCAGCTATTCCCAAGGAATACTAAGCAGACACACTCCCTGTGACACAGTTATATTGCCCATCGACATGCATCTTCTGATTATCACAGACCAATAAACAGACCTCTCTGTCATACCAACTTGGAATAAACCACAGCTAACTTGAGACCAATTTTTCCATATTATCCACCAGATTTACTATCTCCTCAAACATGAGCAGCTGACAATTGACCAAAACAAAGTCTCCTAGGGATTTTTTTTTTCACTAATGCTGTCATCTAGAGAAATGGGTCCCAAATTTTTCAAGTAGGAAGAAATTTCTTCTTCTGAGTGTCAAATTTTTTTTTATTATTATTATACTTTAAGTTCTAGGGTACATGTGCACAACGTGTGGGTTTGATACATAGGTATACATGTGCCATGTTGGTTTGCTGCACCCATCAACCCATCATTTACATTAGGTATTTCTCCTAATGCTATCCCTCCCCCAGACCCCCATCCCCTGACAGGCCCCAGTGTCTGATGTTCCCCGCCCTGTGTCCAAGTGATCTCATTGTTCAATTCCCAACTATGAGTGAGAACACAAGGTGTTTGGTTTTTTGTCCTTGCGATAGTTTGCTGAGAATGATGGTTTCCAGCTTCATCCATGTTCCTACAAAGGACATGAACTCATCATTTTTTATGGCTGCATAGTATTCCATGGTGTATATGTGCCACATTTTCTTAACCCAGTCTATCATTGATGGACATTTAGGTTGGTTTCAAGTCTTTGCTATTGTTAATAGTGCCACAATAAACATACATGTGCATATGTCTTTATAGTAGCATGACTTATAATCCTTTGGGTGTATACCCAGTAAAGGGATTGCTGGGTCAAATGTATTTCTAGCACTAGATCCTTGAGGGATCACCACACTGACTTCCACAATGGTTGAACTAATTTATACTCCCACCAACCGTGTAAAAGTGTTCCTATTTCTCCACATCCTCTCCAGCACCTGTTGTTTCCTGACTTTTTAATGATCGCCATTCTAACTGGCATGAGATGGTATCTCATTGTGGCTTTGATTTGCATTTCTCTGATGACCAGTGATGATGAGCATTTTTTCATGTGTCTGTTGGCTGCATAGATGTCTTCTTTTGAGAAGTGTCTGTTCATATCCTTCACCCACTTTTTGATGGGGTTGTTTTTTTCTTGTAAATGTGTTTGAGTTCTTTGTAGATTCTGGATATTAGCCCTTTGTCAGATGGGTAGATTGCAAAAATTTTCTCCCATTCTGTAGGTTGCCTGTTCACTCTGATGATAGTTTCTTTTGCTGTGCAGAAGCTCTTTAGTTTAATTAGATCCCATTTGTCAATTTTGGCTTTTGTTGCCATTGCTTTTGGTGTTTTAGTCATGAAGTCCTTGCCCATGCCTATGTCCTGAATGGTATTGCCTAGGTTTTCTTCCAGGGTTTTTATGGTTTTAGTTCTAACATTTAAGTCTTTAACTCATCTTGAGTTAATTTTTGTATAAGGTGTAAGGAAGGGATCCAGTTTCAGCTTCTATATATGGCTAGCCAGTTTTCCCAGCACCATTTATTAAATAAGGAATCCTTTCCCCATTTCTTGTTTTTGTCAGATTTGTCAAAGATCAGATGGTTGTAGATGCGTGGTATTACTTCTGAGGCCTCTGTTCTGTTCCATTGGTCTATATATCTGTTTTGGTACCAGTACCATGCTGTTTTGGTTACTGTAGCCTTGTAGTATAGTGTGAAGTCAGGTAGCGTGATGCCTCCAGCTTTGTTCCTTTGCCTTAGGATTGTCTTGGCAATGTGGGCTCTTTTTTGGTTCCATATGAACTTTAAAGTGGTTTTTTCCAATTCTGTAAAGAAAGTCATTAGTAGCTTGATGGGGACGGCATTGAATCTATAAATTACCTGGGGCCATATGGCCATTTTCACGATATTGATTAGCAGGAAGAAATTTTTTTTAACATCTCCTTAATTACCAATACCTGTCTATATGAACTTGGACTAGATAATTCATTTCTCTCTCTCATTTTCTCTAATTGTAAAATGGAAGTGAAACTACCTATGCCATAATGTCAATGAGAATTTAAATGAGAAAACACAAGTATTTAGAAAAGTATCTAATGTGTAATTAACAGTCACTAAACATTAGTTTATCATCAATTTAAAATACTACTGCCTGTTCTTCTCACTACGTTATAGTAATTTACTTTTAACTAGGTTTTCTAAAAAAAAAAGAAAACGCCATGACCACATGTAGCACTTACAAATGAATATATAATTCATTATCCATTAGAGAAGTGCATATACTTGAAACGTGGGATATATTTCAGAAAGACAAACTGTTTATTGAATCAGCCATGCCTCCGGAATGTGTGGCTGCCACAGAGTTTGGGAATTTCTGGTCCAGGACTCAGAGCACATTTACCTCATTCCTCTTCATTATTTATTTACATCTCTAGCATTATACAATGAAAATTATTGTTCAGAATTATGATTCATTGCCCCAGGAGTCTCACAAAAGAATGTAATTAAAATTTACATTTGATGTGAGACTCTAGCAACAAAATTGAAAACAACAACAACAACAAAGAAAAGTCCATCTGACTCAATTTCAGTGAAGTATAATAGTCAACCACTCAAAATTTATCTTTCTTGTCTAGATGGTTAGAGTTTCATAACAATATCATTTCATCGGAGCACCTCAGTGTACAAACTGGTAGCCCATGGCTTCATGTATCTATTTTCTCATTTCATGAAACTTCATCTTTTGACAAAATGATACCTAACATGTACAGACTAAGTCATGAGAAATGGTTAAGGGTAGTCAATTTTCTCCTCTGATAGATTTCTGATCTCCTTATAGGTAAGTAAATAATTTATGGAAAAAAATAGCATTCATTTCATCATATTGAGTTGTTAGTCTATAAATTAATTTCAAATAAGAACTGAAGTAAATAATATCTTGCAATTTACATAAACATTTACTAGGCTCTCATGTAGGAGGGAAAGTAAAGGACAGAAATAAGTGAAAATGTCACCCAATCCATATTCACAAGTTTAGCAATGAAATGATACTATATACTATACATTTCAATTAAGGCAAAGTCTTAATTAGTTACTGGCTAGCAGTTGCTTTTATCTAGTTTAACTTCATTAATATTCTTTTGGACTTAACTTTATATGTGGTAATAGAAATACTCTGCAAGGAATTGTTACAGAAAAAGGTTGCAAAGGAGCAAAGTAAAATATTTTATGAAAAGGGAAAGGAGACTAAATTCATGCATTAGTGTGGCAACTATTTATAGTATAATTAATGAATCTACTCATTTTTAACAATTGTTCCTTTATAACCATTTTTACATTTGCCTTTCTTCAAAACATACAAAATTCCTTACAGACAAGCCAAAGTGTAAAATTAAATGATATCATGACATCTAATTACTAAGAATAATTCTGACTTAAGAAGAAGAGAAGATATTACAGCCAGTGTTCAGCACTGAATCTAGACGGAAGTGTTGATGTTCTTTTCTTCCCAAAATTAGCTGGCCACACCCATTTAAAGTCCCTGCCTTTGTTCTCTTGCTTGTCTTGGAATTCACATGTCCCTAGCTGCTATTTGCAGGCTGAGATTGGACTAGGAATGCTTCGCTCAGGTTTTTACTCTGAGAAACTCTTGATAGCATGGGTTAATTATCTTTCATTTCACCTCGCATTATCACTCACTCAATTAAATACAAATTTAAATGGAAAAAGCAGTTTCTCCCCCATACAAATGTTTGTTTTTAGCCTAATGTGCTTTCTAAATAACTGGTTGCCATAGTGGCAGGCACTTTGGAAAAAGTGTGTCAGAGTGAATAAAGATCATTAAAAATGACTAATTAGCCATCAGATAAGAAGATGCTATTTGCATGCTCATGTGAGAAACAGAATTCTTGCAAATTTCATGTACCTGCACATAAAATGAGAGAGAGGTAAAGGTGAAGAAAACAGTGTTTTCTTTTATCCTTCTTTCTCCCCAATCAGAACTCTATTTCAAAAACATATTATAGGCTACAAAAATTGCTTGATCCTCTTGGTTACCTGAGTACCAATTACTGCTGCCTTTTTAGACTATCCATCCAGTATCTGTCCTTTCATGGGTCAGTTGTTTGTGATATATATGAAAAGAGTGTAGACATTGGTACTTTAGCCATGATTAGACTCTGCTACTTCCCTCACCAATTCAAACCTCACGATTTTATTTCCAGAGAAATGTTTCTATGCACAAAGTCACAGAGACACTACCAATTTCAGTTTAACCTGTCTCTTCAATTGACTACTTAAACTGACAACTCTAATTGTCCACTAGTGGACACATTTGTGCATTAAAATGTCTGGTTACATTGTTCTAAACCAAAGGATAATCTGACTTCAATAATCAGGTCTGAATTTAGAGGCTAATTGCATTGCATCCTTTAACCTTTAAAATGAGCTGCCCTTATAATTTAGCAAAATCCTCCACACATTTCTCTAAAGCCGAGGATTCCAAAGAAATTAAAATGAAAAGAGCAGATTATTCTACGTGACTGAAAAGTGACAAAGCAATGACCCCCCAAGTCTCCAATTTCAAAAGGTTCATAAAATCTATGTTCGTACTGTATACTTGTTGGATTTATAATTCATTCATTGCCCCCCTGCTCTCATTTGCATGAAAAAAGGAGGGAAAGGTCAATATGTCCCTTTTAAAGTATCTGAACTTCAGTCCCAGGAAGCACTGTTTCATGGATGCCGTCTCTCTTTTCCTCCCGCTCTTTCTCTTCCTCTCTCTCTACGTCTCTATCTCCATCTCCTTCCAAAAGACACAACCCCTAAGTGTAGATTTGTTTTGGTTTCAGAAAAACTTGAGTCTTGATCCTAATTTTACCCTAAGAAATGAAATAACTCAGCAAGCATCATCTCTCTTTCAATGTTGTTGTTTCTTCAGTGTAAAGATTATTTTTACCTACTCATTTACTAGCAGTACCTTGAATATGTTTAACAAATCATCATTCCATATTTGTTTGCTGCTGTGTCATTTGTAACATTTGTAAAAGGCTGAACAGAAATGAAGTGAATTATGTGAAGCTGATATGAACCATAGACATTGTCCTCAAAGGGATTATAACCATTCATCTACTCAGTGTAAAGAAGCAATGAAAATATGACCTCAGTAAAAGATGAAGCTATATGTAAATATCAGATGCTATTATGTGTTAAACTTTTTCTCTATCACTTGTCTAGTCTGCTATGTAATAGAAAAAAAAAACTTAAAACTCACGTGTTTCTCTTCTAATTCCTAGACTAAATTTTACATTCTGTCATTTATTCTGATTTATTCCACATAAAACACAACTTTCAATTGGATAATATTGGTTAAAAAGCAATAAATCCAAGGAAAGTACAAACATGCTTATTTATGCCTAAGACCATTGAATTGAAAGGACAATTTGAATTTGTGACATTGTGCCTATTGAATGACTAGAATTCCTCTTTTTCAATTAGAAATGCTCCACCAAATCAAAGAAAGTCTAGAAGGGCAAATGGAAAGTTGCTGTTCAATAGGTATAGTTTTGGTCATGCAAAATAAAAAAGTTCCTGAAATCTACCATACAGCATTGTGCTTATAGTTAACAATACTGTACTATACACTTAAAACATTGTTAAGAGGGCAGATGTCATATATGTGTTTTTCAACCACAATACAAAATAAAAGTCCAGGAAAGTCTCTATTCTGTGGATGATTAAGAAACCATTGGGATTTGAATAAAGCATTAAATAATCATCTATTTAGTCACTAATAGATTTAATGATAATCTGTTGACCTCCATAAGTGAAGATACTATTATTTTTTAATCTCCCACAGTGAGCAGACTATACTTGGTTTGCTTGTACCATGTGCGGTTTCTAGGACTCCTGGAGGATCTAATTCAGTAGGTCAGCTTTATGGTCCCCAAGTTTGCCTTTTAAACAGAACTTCATGGATGGATTCATAAGCAGAGGTCCACAGACCACACTTTGAGAAGTCTGGGATGGTATGCCCTCTCTATCGCAAATGCTAAGGATCAATGATCAATTTAATAAATTCATTTGTAATACCTTTTGTGGTTTCTGTGAAACACGCACATAGAAAGCATTGGCCTGAGTGTACTTCAAAGCCTAAAATAGTGTAATATTAAGGGGCCAATTCTGGGTATAAAATCTATGATTCTGGCACTATTAATACCAATAACTGGTTACCATGGTGACAGGAATTCTGATCAAAGTGTCTCATACGACGAATAAATTTCATTAAAATGACTAAATGACTAATATACCAATAATGGGAAATTTACTCAATTAATAAATAGCCATAATTCATGGGCAAGTTAAATTAGTAGAGGAAAAAATAAAGAGGAAAGAAACTACCCTTGAATCTGCCAGATCTCAGAACCTGTATTTTTTTAAGCTTCCTGTAAACACAGTGAGACATCCGAATGGTGACGCTGCAAGTCTAGCCTTTTGTTTGGCTACTTTTTGCGTGGCACCACTGACTCTGATAAGAATATTAAAATTACAGGAGTTATAACAATTTAGAAAAACATTTTAAGGAAGGCTAATGATAACAAAGACACAGATAAAATATATCACCAGGCCACAGGACAGTTCAAGATTACAATTCTTTTACTGGAATGAAAACCTTTTTTAGTTCAAAAATCTTTAAATCACTTTCAGGACACCTTGGTATCCCTGGAATAGTCTTCTCTTTCATATAAGGTCAAGTGATCATAAATAAAAATCATTAAATAGAATCACACTCACAGACAATAATTTCCTGGATAAATAACCTTGTATATTTTAAGATGTCTTGGAATATGTAAAAAAATCATTCTCCCCTAATCAGACCTGCTGCAGCTAACGTCTAGGAAAGTTTTTCTTACCATGCCTGAGTAAGATACCATTGGAATGTGAAGAATTTCAATAACACAATCTCTATAATGCTGAAAAATTGTCAAATCATTCGCAGATCACTTGCATTTGTACTCTTCTTTTTTTTTTTGCTATATATGAGCAACATTAACAAAATCAAGTTATCAATTTTTTAAAAATTGTCTCAAGCAAAATTTAGATCTAGATCTAGATACACAAGATTGATTAATTCCTAGCTCTCATGCTTTAAAAAAGTTTTTCACAGTTTTCTCCTGTCAAAAACACAATGCCATCATCAAAAGAGAAGTTGCCAACCAAAGTAGTGTAGGTGAAGTCCAAACCCATGTTCCATCTTCACAACCCAAGGGAATGATTTGACACTAAGGACAACAATTTGAATAAGTTAAAGATTTTGTTGCATTAATGCAAGACACTGACTGAGTGATTACGATGTTACACCATATGTTAGGCAATGGAGGCAAAACTAATCAGGTGAAGGTCCTTCCTGCGCTCTCAAAAGTCTGCATTGTAGCACACCTTACCATCACAGGGACAGTTTTAGCCAAAGTGGTAAGAATCACAATCCAGGTATGCAAACTATGTGTGGGAGCATAAATGAACTTGGGAGGGACCCTTTAGGTCTAACAGAGTCACTGTTAAGTGAAATACTTATTTCACAAATCCCACTCTGCCTCATGAGCAGGAGTAGGTTCCAGACAGGTAGAAAATAATCTAACATAGAGGGGCATTTGTGTTGGAGGAAAAACATCTGTCAAGACATAAAAGTGCACGGGCTGCTTTGCAGGGTTGAAGTCTGGAGTAAATGGTGGGTACTATCAGGAGAAGGGAATGCAGAAGTCTTTCCAATCAAAATCTTTCAAACAAATTTGTGTTTTTCTTCAGTTCACTAGCCTTTTTTGAGGACCAGCCATTCTCCTTTCAAAGTGTCTCACACTGTAACAGTCATGCGTTGAAGTACAATTCCCTCCTAGGACTAAAAGAAGCAAACTGAAACACGCCCAGCACCCCTGGAACTCATTCCCAGCCCACTGATGAGAAGCTGCAAATCAAAGAAGAGCATGTCCTGATTACTAATCAGAGGTTTCAGAATTAAACTCTGGAGTCAAACCTTGATTCACTAGCTGCCTGAACTTGGAGAAATTTCTTAACCTAACTAAGCTTCTCTTTCTATATCTGTAAAATGGAGATGATAATACTTACTTAACCATGTTGTGAAAACTAAATAGATAACGTAAGTGTGTAATAAAATTTATGTTAACAACTCACCAAATGATAGTCACTAATACTACCATTATCAGTCACCATGGGGAATAGAGAAGAAATCATAGTAAAAATTTCTACTATGCCCTTCTAAGAGACAGGAGCTGCTTAATCTTTATAATATTCCATGACATCAGCACGATTATAATTCTCCTTTCTACAGACAAAGAAACTGTAGCACAGAGAAGTTAAGTAATTGCATAAGTTTGCACAGCCAATAAACGATAGTCATCTGAAACATGTTTGGAAAATTGTCATTCTAGGAAGTCCTTTTAGCCCATAGAAGAAACTTGTTCTCTTCTTTAACAAACAAAAAATAAGAGTGTATTCTCAGCTTCTCTTAAGAGGCATTATGCTATTTCTAAATCTATCTAAAATCTCTTTATGTTCATTTATGTTTTCTGCTTCACCCATCTGCTAGTGATTCTGTCGTGTTTTCCTTTCATTTTTTCCTTTACTTACTTTGCTCAAATCACACATAAGATCTCCTTGCGGTGACTGATATTACCAGATTTGGACAAAAAGTCGATTTTCCCTTTAGACTAATGTTTCTAACTCTAACTTCATACAGTAACTCCTTGTCCTCAATCCTTCACTAGATCTGTTTTTTAATTGGCATTATGTCTTTTTGTGGTGTGACTGCTGGAATTACACCTGGTATTCAGGATAATTGGGAAAGTTGTACTGAGTCTGGTTTGCAGTATTTTTTAAAAAAACAATCCTTGCTCTCAAGAATCTTAGAATATAGTTGATAAAAGAAGCTAAGATACTGACAACGTGTGATGAATAACGTGGTTGTATTTGGTTATTCCCCTACTCACAATGCCCTTCACCTTTCCCTACTTACTCAAATGTAATGCACCTTTCCATGGAAGCAGAATGCAATTTTTGTAGGATGATTGGCATTTTAAAAGAAAGTGGTGAAAAAAAAATTTAGTGAACATTACAGACAAAGGAATAGCATAAAACAATGTTCCCAGAACCAGTTTCCTGCTCATCATTATTTTGCAGGCCGTTAATAAGTGTACTACAAAGCACAAGTGTTCTGTCTCAAACAAGCTGGGGAAAGTCTGGTTTAAATTGAGTAAAAGACTTTTTTATTTTGCTTCCTTTTTTAACACAGTAGGAATTTTCAGAGCCTTCAGTATGCTATTGCATATTGTGAATCTCCTAGAGAGGAATATGATACAGTATTTCTCAAATATATTTGACCATGGAATTCTAGCCAACACATTATGGAACTAACATACAATGAAACACAGTTTAGGAAGCACATTTTAAAAACCATAAAGATAAAACAAGCATTATTTAGAGGATGTAAGAAAAATAAACTTAATCAGCACATCCATCATTGGGATCAGTGGAATCTCATGGGTTGAGGATGGAGAGCAAGACCCAATGAAGGGATTCAGCCTTGATGCCACGTAAAATAGGAGTTCATTTCCACGGTGTATACCATCATAGGATTCAGTCACGTAAGGATATATGAGTTTGGCTAGAGAGCAGCATTCACATTCAAGATGCGTCTTTGCTTAGCAACACAGGAGCTCCTGGCATGTCACTATTGTTTTTCATAGAGCAAACATAATAAAGGTAAAGGATTTCCCTTCTGACATCATTAATTTTCTACTTGGCACAAATAATTTCTATAAATTAAATTGACACCTAGAAAAGATTGGTTGTCTGTTCAATGGTAAAACTATATTACATCTCTATTCAAAAAGGCTGAGGTATAAATTAATTTTTCAGATCACCCAAGGAAAGCTAGTTATCATTTTCTAAAAATAGGCCAAATAGATGTGCATGATAGAAAACTTTCCAAATTGCCATCTTTGGTATAGCTATGTCATTCAACGAAGAAATATGCAGGGTGATCTTGTTATTTAAAGACATGGAGGTAAATCTCAGATAAAACAGCTAGAATACTTTAAAATAGTTTTTCTGGAGAATGATGTGGGGGCAGAAGGCCAGTGAAGGAAGGAGCAGGGGACAGCTGTTTCAACTATGTCATTTAGTCTTATTTGATATTTAATCACTTATGTAAGATACTTTGTTGAAAAAAAGTAATTTTTCAAAAAGGATCATACCTTTACCATTTAACGCTCGTGGCTAAACTACACAAGTGCAGAAATGAATAGTTAACCTTGGAATAATATGGCTTTGACTTATGGCTAACACACACTGTGATAGGGGGTCTATTTAAAGTTTGATTACTAAGTTATATATTATATATATATTTTATAAATATATATATATATATTACTCTCTTTCAGGCAAGGAAGACAGTTTAAAATATAACAAAAGTATATTTGTTTAATCAGGAAAAATTTTTTAATTTGAATAATTTCAAATGGGGTTCTAAAAAATAAAAATCTCCCCTTCAATTTGAAATTATAATTTATTTTCTTCTTCTCCATAACATTTATTATCTGCATTAATTATTAGAGAATCCCTTACAACTAGTCCACAAACTAATGACAGGTCCATATTGTCCTCAATTTTTTGCCCTATAATCATTTTACATTATAGATGCAAGACAAAAGAGGAGAGAAAGGAGGGAAGGAGACAGAGAGAGATTAGAAAGAACAACTGGGGAAATTTTTATCCAGGGTTTTTACAAACAAAAGTGTTTTAAAGCCATCTCGAACTCTGGCAGTGTTGCTTTTCTGTTCTTTGGGTGTTTTTATTTAATTATACAAGAATAATCTCAGAAGCTGGTGGTGGTTTCAATTTGTCTGATAGAGAAAGCTAGAGAATTACCCTTCATAATACTTAATTAAACATTTCTATCAATTACACTGAATAAATATGCAGTCACAACGGCTGCTGGTTGATTTGACGTTTAAAAAGATGGCATATATTAAAGCCCCAGTTTGGCTATGCAACACATTAGATTCAGTTAGCAAACATAGTGATTGTTTTTCCTAAGAAAATTGTTCTTTTTAATTAAAGCATTTGCTCTTCTCTTAGCACTTTACAATGTGTGATGCAAAATAAACATAAAATAGTTACTGCATATTTTTCCTCAGCTTTCTCAGTCCAGATACCAAATAATTTGATTCAGAATAATTTCTGAAGGGTTTATTTACTTGGATTGGGAAAAAAAAATACTACTGGCAAGTTTGGTAATCAGAAAATCTACTTGATCAATAAATCTTGCTACTTAGAAAACTCCTATGGAAGACATGATGAGATGATGTGGGATCTTATGCCTCCTTTTCACTCATGACTAACAAATGAAATCTTCAGTTAAATGCATTGACATATAGGTTGAAAAAACTGAGTCATATGGGAAAATTATTGTTTCAAATACTAAAGATAGGTAAAAAATAAAGAATATGGGTTTTCAGCCCAAGGTAATGATCCGAACTAGATGTGCTTTCTCTGAAATACTGCAATTAGATAAAAAGGGTAAACTCTGTTTGAATTCATTTTAATTTTTTAAACTAATGTCTGATCATACTATACATTGACCTATCCATCAATTACAATTCAGGAATGTTTCCATTCTTTTGTTCCCCCCGTCCTTTATGCCCTGGATTTACTTATTAAAGTGAGTATTAGATGAAATTGTGTTTATCTAGTATACCTGAACCGTCAAAAAAAAAGTGTGATTTTGATGGATTTTCTCTTTGCATCAATGTTAGCAGAGATTTTAGATACTCTGGAATCAGTTCTTCCTGTAGAACCACTTTCAATGGAAACTAAGCATAGAATTGCCAGAGTCTATATACACATCAGTGTGACTGAAATTTTTAAAGAAAATTCTAAAGAAAAAATTAAAGAACCATTTTATGGTCTTATGTGGTGCCAAATATAGGTTTCACTTTTTAATTAGATAGTCCTAATTCACTGACTTTTTAAAGCTACAGTTGAAAGAAATGAAAGACCCCCTCTCCCAGAAAAAAAAAGTGTGTGTGTGTGAGTGTGTGTGTGTGTGTGAGAGAGAGAGAGAGAAAGTTATTAGAGGAGGTCACCAAAATGGAAACACAATGTTCATGTTTTCTCATGAAAACACAGACATAAAAATTGGACTCAGAAACTATCCCCTTTGTCCACCCATCCATTTTAGGAGGCTGCATGCCTGCCCTACCTCAAATTTTGTTGCTTTCTTTACATTCTCTCTGACTCTCCCTCCTCTCACTTTACGCAATGACAAGTCTTTTTTTCTTTTTTTTTTTTTTTTTTGGTTCTGAACTATGTCCTTCCTTTTGTTCTTTCATCTTAAGAAAACAAAATAAGACTGTATAGAGTTGGTTTTATCAACTAATAGGAAAATCTCTGTCAAAACTCCAATGATATTGACTAAGTCAGGAAGCCCTATGGGACAGAAAGCAGAGGTGACAGTCACAGGAAACAAGGACTCAATGATGTCACGTGAACTTTTGAGGAGTGCATGTCCTGCAGATGCAGGGATACAAGAAAAGTGACTCATTTCCTATTATCCATAGGGCAGAAACCCAAAGTACAAATTTCATGACCGAATATACTCCACAGACAAAAAAAAAAATCAAGGCGTTTATGGATATAAAGCATTACAATAGGAATACAACAATTGTAATCCAATTTGAAGAAACTGAATTAGCTTTAAAGTTTAAAACACCATTGGATTCAATTTCTGACTGAATTATTTGTTAGTCAAGTAGCCTTGGGAAAATAATTTAACCTCTATGAGTGTCTGTTTCTATATTTTTTAAATGAAGATAATATTGTCTGCGTGGTAGGGGAGGAAATGTAATGCATTCATGCACATAAAGTTCATGACATAGCGACAGAGATCATCCTTACAAAGCCTATGTATGGGCTTGAGGTGGAAGAGGGAGGCAATCAAATGTAATTAAGACAAGAATCCAGAAGAATATCTGTCATTCCCTAATCTGCCCAGAGTCGTCGGGGTTGTTTTTGTTCCTGCAATCTCTTCTCTTGGAAGTGTGCAGTGCCAGAATACAGGTAGTTTAAAAAGTGTTTTAATATAACAAGTAAAATCAAGAGTAAAATTTGAGATATGGAATGAAAGGAAGAAGAATCACTCGGTAACAGTGGGAAGAACCATTGGTTTTCCTGAGAAGCTTAGATAACTAAGGGAAGTAGTTCTAGAAATCTAATCTGTGTAGGAGGAAAAACATAAAACATTTTCAAAGGAGAAAACATTGGGAACTAGAGGAGCGGCTTGGGAGATGTGTAAGCATCCCAAAATATTTGGTGGATACTAGTACAGATGAGTATTAGGTGGGTACTAGGACAGATATAGAGATCCTAAGTGTGAGAAAAGATGAGGCAAGTCTATTTTGATTTACATTTGTTAACTGAAATTCTTCAGTAAAGGAGAGCTATCTTTTTTCCCCATGTATGTATTTATTTAAGATACAGATATAGATGATACAGATGATATAGATATAGATGCTCTGTACAAACTCATGGATAATTCTCTATTCTGAGTTATAATCCAATACTGTCATTACTTATTCTGCTGCCCAGAGTATCCCAGCTTTGGCCATTGGGAACTCTTTCAGGTTTGCTTTTGTATCCATTCAAGTTGACCATGTAATTTTTTAAGCACTTCCTTACTTTCTGGAACCACTTTCAACATGTTCCTAGTTCATCTTATATTTTCTCACACACGGCCATGGAAGCACTCATTTCTCCAAAAATTCCTGATTCCTTTTATAAAGGAATATCTAGAAACCAAGTATTCTAGGTTTTAGACACCAAGATTGGAATGCTAGGTGAGTTCATTGTTCTCTGGGCATCATTGTGTCAAGCCTTCTCAGCAGCTGGAGCTACAAACTGTATGTATGTTTGTGAACATACATATAGATGCACATCTTTATGTATCAGAAATTTATAAGAAGATTTTCTTTTGAGGATATGAACTGCTGAGCTGATCTACATCTATAAAAAATCAGGGCCGGCCAGGTTCAGTGACTCACACCTGTAATTCCAGCACTTTGGGAGGCTGAGGCAGGTGGATCACCTGAGGTTAGGAGTTCGAGACCAGCCTGGCCAACATGGCGAAACCTCATCTCTACTAAAAGTACAAAAATTAGCTAGGTGTGGTGGTGGGCACCTGTAATCCCAGCTACTCAGGAGGTTAAGGCAAGAGAATTGCTCAAACCCGTGAGGCAGAGGTTGCAGTGAGCCAAGATCGCGCCACTGGACTCCAGCCTGGGCCACAGGAGCAAGATTCCATCTCAAAGAAAACAAAAATCAGGGTCACACTTGGTGGTAATAAAAACCACTGACTAAAAATATAAAGGCAATATTGTAGTAGTCTGCAGGCGGATACATCCATACATCAGCTCCTTAGGAACTTAAATTTATAAATATTATTTATCCAGCTTGATGTGAAGCAAATATGAATAACAACATTAGCAAATTGAGTAAGCCATTAGGGGCATGCTTTCAAAAAACTGTTTTGGCCTGTAGTTAAGGGTCTCTTGTGACACATGATAACTTTTTGGGAAGGGGTCATCTTTGACAGAAAGGTACTGTGAGAATTTCTGGTAGCATGGAATGATTTGAGTCTTCATCATTATAGAGTCATTATCTGAATTTTCCTTCTGCTACCACTCCTCCTCTGAACCCTGGCCACCATCTGTCCTATCTCAAGTTTTAGGCTTGATTATTGTGACACATCTTTGAAAATCCATGAATTCTGAAGAGGAAATGAAATGATTTGGGCCTATAATCCAGAATGCTCACTAAAAATAAAGCAACTCCATCTTGGGTGCTAATCCACTATGTTGCCTTTTGATTAACCCCTGTTCTGGAAATGCCTCTAGGATTTCTACTTTATACACTGTTACCATAAGTCCTTCCCTTAGGTCAAAACAAGCTTGACCATAAATCCTGACTTTAGGCGAATGCACATAGCACTCTTGCTTCTCCCTGAGGGGTCGAATTCAATTGTCCTATATATTGATTCCCTATGTTGTGTAAGCCTTGGGTCTTAGGGGTAATGTTGCCAGGATCCACCATCTTGTCTCACAGCCACCGAAGATAATGGCTTTTGTTCCATAGTCCCTATTTCTTTGGTCTCTCAGTTCTCTTGGCCTTTGAAGGTAGATTTGTAGAGGCCTGCTCATCATAGAACATACCACGTCAGGAAATCTTTATGTATAATTTGAATAAACAGCAATTCAGAATGACTTTGGAAATTTTTCCTCTGTCTTTAAAGTTCTCATGCATAGAAGAATGGAATAAGAGTGTGGGTTATTGATATGAGGAATGGTTCAGGGAACATTTGGATTTATCAGTTACTGCAATGTTCTTAACTATGCCTTCCTCAAAGGGCTTCGTAGTTGTGTTATCCATTTAACTAGCATTTAACAGTAAAAAAATGATGAGCACTTTGTTTTCTAATAATATTCCTGCAGGTTATTATGCAATGCTAAATTTATATTAGAAGATTTCTCAAATAATTGGTGGTTAAAGTTGGATAATACAGATACCAAAATTGTAGCACAAAATATCAAGTTTGAAAACTGAAATCATTATCATTATTAGAGCTGTTTATTAAATATAGAATTTAGAGAATTTTCTGGCTTAATAGTTGTATTTTCATTAATGAAGCTGAGAAGCGAGGAGGAGCAAATATTTTTGAAGCTTTCAAAATTGATCAGGACTAAATGAGAGTGCATTGTTCTCTAATATAAGGTCTTGTGCTCTGAAACAGTGCCAGATGATATTGTATATGGGCCAGCTACAGTCATGCTGGTAAATTTCACTAATTGCAGAACAGAAAACTACTCACAATTGGTAAAGGAAAACAATAATGTTTCCACTAAACTAATCTGATAGGGAATTTGAGAAATAAGAAATGAAACCCAGATTAAATCTCCCCTAGAGTGCTTTAACTTTGCATTCAATTATACTAAGAAAAAAATATTTTTAGTTTTTCAGCAAAAGAATGTTCAAGTTTCTAAGTAAGTAATATACCCAGCGTATTTATTTCCATCTCCATGGACTTTTCCCTAGAACACCCTCCTAACTTGTCCCCTTCCCCCAGCCTTAAATTCATAATGTTTAGTATAACCCAGAGTATTTTTTTCCAAAGACCAAATAAAATTACTCCCCTGTCCTGATTAAAATCCCTCAAAGCCACCCTCTGTCCTCCTCTTCCCATTCCCTCAAGATAATGTCTAAACATCTTAGTATGGCATACGGCACTGTTCTTGGTATGGTACCTCTCCAGGAAAAATGCATGTTACTGTCTGCAAAACTATTT
The DNA here is from genome assembly GCF_000001405.40 of Homo sapiens. Lineage (NCBI taxonomy): Eukaryota > Metazoa > Chordata > Mammalia > Primates > Hominidae > Homo > Homo sapiens. The sequence continues at coordinate 163,858,008 of NC_000005.10, read as the reverse complement.
GCTCTGAACATCTTAAACTTACAGAATGAGATACTTTTTCTGCTTCCCCTAAAACTTCAATCATGCTCACCCATTAGCATAGATCATATGTCTTCAACATTTCCATCACTGGCTAACTTCTGTTAATCCTTCCTAAGTTTCAGTGCTCCAGGAAGCTTTCTGGTACCAACTAGCCTGTCTCCCAGTGGTGCCTGCAGCTGGTCTAGTGGCTATGTCCTGTGTAATAAAATAATATAAATCACTAATTTCTGAGATCTTTAATTATCACAGTACGAGATTCTTACAAGCAGGGAAAAAAAATTTATTATTATGTCTGGAGCATTCAATACAGAGTCTGAAAAAATGACTGGCCATAGTGAAAATATGTTATTTTTTAATACTCCAGTATCCACATAGTAACCTGGCTTTTACTGAAACCTCTAGTACATGAGTCTTGGTAATAGTCAAAGGTGACAGAAGTCATTTGAGACTAGAAATGCTCATTTTCTGACATCTGGAAGTTAGAGGATAAGCATGAGATCTAGGATTGGCCAACTGAACATTCCTACTTAAGACTATAAATCCACATGGGAGAAAACAAAGCATAGAAGACAAAGCTTATTCACAGTGGCATCTGTGCTCTTAGGAGTTTATGGATACTATGATTGGCAATCATAGTTATAAGAAGACCATGAACAAGCTTGGGTAAACCTACCTGACTGTGCTCTGTGATGTCTTCCTGCCTTGTTTTCTGTGTTCAGGACTTTGATTCGATGAACTGCACGGTTTTCTGCAAATAAATTCATTTTCTGCTTAGGTTAGTCAGATGGATGGACTGATACACAAATGATTAAATCAATGAATGAGTAAAAGCAACAAAGCATCAAAGAAAGAACAGGCTCAATTTCCACTACTTTTGGCATTCTTTCTCTTCCTCTTTCCATTACTTGACTTCCCAATCTTTTCTGTAATAGCAAGTAATTTTTAAAACAAATAAACATTCTAGTTTTCTAAAAACCCTTAGGGTTCTTATATCATGTACAAAAATAATTTATAACATATTGACTTAATAATTTTCTACTAGCCTGTGAACTAGTTGAAGTAGAAGCTCTGTATCCTCTCCTTTGGGCTGATTTATTTTTTGAAATTAAGGAAGAAATTAGAAGAATTTAAAAAACTAGCATCTTTCATTCATAAAAACTAGCTGAGCCTAGTACAATATTAAACTCACATTTCAATAAATAAATCTACTCAGGTCTTTCATGCCCACATGTCCACTGCTCAGTCAGTCTTCGCTGCTCCTTCTTCTTCACTGTAGGAGGCCCAGGGAGTTCTGCCACAGCCTTTATCACTCTGTGACCTGCAGGTACTGGGACATGCATGGGGAGGATGCCAGGACACCCAGGAAGTTGGAATACGAACTTAGTTGCCTTTGAAGTTGTGACTGTGACCTTCACCCAACAGAAGTGGGCTTGGCTGGATCCTTCTCAGAATTTCTACAAAGATGTGATGCAGGAAATCATCATAATCCTGGCTTCTATAGGAAACAAATGGGAATGTCAACATTGAAGATCAGTAAAGAATTCTTGGAAAAATTTAAAGCACATTATATCTCACACTACAGGCAAATCATATGACTATTAGTAATGTGTAAAGACACCATATAATGACAATCAATGTTGGAATGCCTTCATTTATCTTACAAGTGTTCAAAGAGACATGGTAGTCTTTGATTTTCACAGTTCACTTCAGATACTTCAGGAAAGTCACATGAGAAAGAAATCCGATAAATGTAAACAATGTGGTAAAGCCTTTAGTTTTTCCAGTTCCTTTCTCATACATGAAAGAACTCACAGAGGAAAGAAACCCTATGAATGTAAGAAATGTGTGGAAAAGCATTCAGACTGAAGCATTCATTCTGGAGAAAATCCCAGTAAATTTAAGAAATGTGGTAAAGCCTTCAGATATTCCAGTTCCCCTTAAGACAATGAAAGAACTCATACTGGAGTGAGACTGTATAAATGTGAGGAATGTGGTAACCCTTTAGTCACTCCAGTAGAAAACTTACACTGGAGAGAAACCTCATGAATATAAGAAATTTAGTAAAACCTTCAGCTGTTCCAGTAACCTTCATTACCATGAAAGAACTCATACTGGAGAGACGCCATGTGAATGTAAGAAATGTGGGGAAGCATTTCATTGTCTTGCTAACTTGCAAGAACATATAAAGACACACTGGTGAAAAACTCTATGCATGTAAGAAATGTGGTGAAGCATTCACTTTTTTCAGTTTCTTTTGAGCATATAAAAAAGCTGTTCATAGGGAAAAGCCCTATGATTGTAAAATTGTGGAAAAGACTTCAGTTGTTCCACTTTCTGTCAAATACATGAAAGATCACATATCGAAGAGAAATCCTATGAAGGTAAGGAATGTGGAAAGCATTTAATTTTCACAGTTTCCTTCAAAGACATGAAAGGAATAAAACTGGAAAAAAGCCTGTGAATGTAAAAAATGTGGAAAAGCCATCTGGTTTTTCAGTTCTTTCAGAAACATTGAAAGGACCACACTGAAGGGAACCCTAATGAATGCACAAAATGTGATAGGGTCTTTAGTTATGCCAGTTACATTTGGTGACATAAAATAACTTATTCTGCAGAGAAAAACATTAATGCATGGGATGTGGAAATGCCTTTATTTCTCTCATATTCATTCAAAGGCTCATGAAAATGCACCATGGAGATGGACCCTATAAATACAGGAAAGCACACGAGATTAAAATCCCAGTAGTTTGGGAAATACAGAAAAGTTCTGAATTTTAAAAATTACTTTAAAAGTCATTTGAAAACCCTTGCTGGAAAGAAATCCTATAAACATAAGTAATGTGGAAAGCCTGATTCAAATTAATTATTCAACAATGCATTGAAAAATTCATGTGAAATTTTTTTTATACTTTACGTTCTGGGATACATGTGCAGAATGTGCAGGTTTGTTACATAGGTATATATGTGCCATGGTGGTTTGCTGCACCCATCAACCTGTCATCTACATTAGGTATTTCTCCTAATGCTATCCCTCCCCTTGCCCCCACACTCCCCGACAGGCCCCAGTGTGTGATGTTCCCCTTCCTGTGCCCATAGGTTCTCATGGTTCAACTCCCACTTATGAGTGAGAACATGTGGTGTTTGGTTTTCTGTTCCTGTGTTAGTTTGCTGAGAATGATGGTTTCCAGCTTCAACCATGTCCCTGCAAAGGACATGAACTCATCCTTTTTTATAGCTACATAGTATTACATGGTGTATAAGTGCCATATTATCCAGTCTATCATTGATGGGCATTTGGGTTGATTCCAAGTCTTCGCTATTGTGAATAGTGCTGCAATAAACATATGTGTGCATGTGTCTTTATAGCAGCATGATTTATAATCCTTTGTGTATATTCCCAGTAATGGGATTGCTGGGTCAAATAGTATTTCTAATTCTAGATCCTTGAGGAATCGCCACACTGTATTCCACAATGGTTGAACTAATTTACACTCCCACCAACAGTGTAAAAGCATTCCTATTTCCCCATATCCTCTCCAGCAACTGTTGTTTCCTGACTTTTTAATGATTGCCATTCTAACTGGCGTGAGATGGTATCTCATTGTGGTTTTGATTTGCATTTCTCTAATGACCAGCGATTATAAGCTTTTTTTCATATGTTTATTGGCCACATAAATGTCTTCTTTTGAAAAGTGTCTGTTCATATCCTTCATCCACTTTTTGATGGGGTTGTTGGGTTTTTTCTTGTAAATTCATTTAAGTTCCTTGTAGATTCTGGATATTAGCCTTTTGTCAGACGGATAAATTCCAAAAATTTTCTTCCATTCTGTAGGTTTCCTGTTCACTCTGATGATAGTTTCTTTTGCTGTGCAGAAGCTCTTTAGTATAATTAGATCCCATTTGTCAATTTTGGCTTTTATTGCAATTGCTTTTGGTTTTAGTTTTGAAGTCATGAAATCCTTGCCTAGGTTTTCTTCTAGGGTTTTTTATGGTTTTAGGTCTTATGTTTAAATCTTTAATCCATCTTGAGTTAATTTCTGTACAGGGTGTAAGGAAGGGGTCCAGTTTTGGTTTTCTGCATATGGCTAGCCAGTTTTCCCAGTACCATTTATTAAATAGGGAATCCTTTCCTCATTGCTTGTTTTTGTCAGGTGTGTCAAAGATCAGATGGTTGTAGATGTGTAGTGTTATTTCTGAGGCCTCTGTTCTGTTCCATTGGTCTATATATCTGTTTTGGTACCAGTAGCCTTGCTGTTTTGGTTACTGTACCATGCTATTTTGGTTATTGTACCACGGTGTTTTGTTACTGTAACCTTGTACCATAGCTTGAGGTCAGGTAGCATGACTGGCAAATGGGATAAAGAGTCAAGACCCATTAGTGTGCTGTATTCAGGAGACCCACCTCACATGCAAAGATACACATAGGCTCAAAATAAAGGGACAGAGGAAGATCTACCAAGAAAACAGAAAGCAAAAGAAAAGCAGAGGTTGCAATCCTAGTTTCTGATTAAACAGACTTTAAACCAACAAAGATAAAAAAAAAAAAAAAAGCAAAGAAGGGTATTACATAATGGTAAAGGGATCAATGCAAACAAGAAGAGCTAATGATCCTAAATATATATGCACCCAATACAGGAGCACCCAGATTCATAAAGCAAGTTCTCAGAGATCTATGAAGAGACTTAGACTCCCACACAATAATGGTGGGAGACTTTAACACCTCACTATTAATATTAGACAGATCAACGAGACAGACAATTAACAAGGATATTCAGGACTTGAACTAAGCTCTGGACCAAGCGGACTTAATAGACATCTCCAGAGCTCTCCACCCCAAAGCAGCAGAATATACATTTTTCTCAGCAATACATAGCACTTATTCTAAAATTGACCACATAATTGGAAGTAAAATAGTCCTTGGCAAATGCAAAAGAACAGAAATCATAACAAATAGTCTCTCAGACCACAATGCAATCAAATTAGAACTCAAGATTAAGAAACTCACTCAAAAGCGCACAACTACTTGAAAACTGAACAACCTGCTCCTGAATGACTACTGGGTAAATAAAGAAATTAAGGCAGAAATAAATAAGTTCTTTGAAACCAATGAGAACAAAGACACAATGTACCAGAATCTCTGGGACACAGCTAAAGCAGTGCTTAAAGGGAACTTAATAGCACTAAATGCCCATCGGAGAAAGCAGCACAGATCTAAAATTGACACCCTAACATCACAATTAAAAGAACTAGAGAAGCAAGAGCAAACGGATTCAAAAGCTACCAGAAGACAAGAAATAATTAAGATCAGAGCAGAACTGAAGGAGACAGAGACATGAAAAACCTTTCAAAAAAATCAATGAATCCAGGAGCTGGTTTTTTGAAAAGATTAACAAAACAGACCACTAGCCAGACTAATAAAGAAGCAAGAGAGAAGAATCAAATGGACACAGTAAAAAATGATAAAGGGTATATCACCACTGATCCCACAGAAATACAAACTGCCATCAGAGAATACTATAAACACCTCTATGCAAATAAACTAGAAAATCTAGAAGAAATGGATAAATTCCTGGACACATAATAAATGGATAAATAAATGGACAAATTCCTGGACACAAGACTAAACCAGGAAGAAGTCGAATCCCTGAAGAATCTAATAACAAGTTCTGAAATCAAGGTAGGAATAGCCTACCAACCAATAAAAGCCCAGGACCAGATGGATTCACAGCCAAATTCTACCAGAGGTACAAAGAGAAGCTGGTACCACTCCTTCTAAAACTATTCCAAACAATAGAAAAGAGGGAATCCTCCCTAACTCATTTTATGAGGCCAGCATCATCCTGATACCAAAACCTGGCAGAGACACAACAAAAAAAGAAAATTTCAGGCCAATATCCCTGATGAACATCAATGTGAAAATCCTCTATAAAAATTCAGCAGCACATTACAAAGCTTATCCACCACGATCAAGTCGGCTTCATCCCTGGGATGCAAGGCTGGTTCAACATAGGCAAATCAATAAACGTAATCCGTCACATAAACAGAACCAAAGACAAAAAACACATGATTATCTCAATAGATGCAGAAAAGGTCTTCCATAAAATTCAACACCCCTTCATGCTAAAAATACTCAATAAACTAGGTATTGATGGTATGTATCTCAAAATAATAAGAGCTATTTATGACAAACCCACAGTCAATATCATACTGAATGGGCAAAAGCTGGATGCATTCCCTTTGAAAACTGGTACAAGACAGGGATTCCCTCTCTCACCACTCCTATTCAACACAGTATTGGAAGTTCTGGCCAGGGCAATTAGGCAAGAGAGAGAAATAAGGAGTATTCAAATAGAAAGAGAGGAAGTCAGATTATCTCTGTTTGCAGATGACATGATTTTATAATTAGAAAACCCCTTCATCTCAGCCCCAAAACTCCTTATCTGATAAGCAACTTCAGCAAAGTCTCAGGATACAAAATCAATGTGCAAAAATTACAAGCATTCCTATACACTAATAAGAGACAGAGAACCAAATCATGAGCAAACTCTTATTCACAACTGCTACACAGAGAATAAAATACCTAGGAATACAACTTACAAGGGATGTGAAGGACCTCTTCAAGGAGAACTACAAACCACTGCTCAAGGAAATCAGAGAGGACACAAACAAATGGAAAAACATTCCATGCTCGTGGATAGGAAGAATCAATATCATGAAAATGGCCATACTGCCCAAAGTAATTTATAGATTCAATACTATTCCCATCAAGCTACCACTGACTTTCTTCATAGAATTAGAAAGAACTACTTTAAATTTCATATGGAACCAAAAAGGAGCCTGTATAGCCAAGACAATGCTAAGCAAAAAGAACAAAGCTGGAGGCATCACGTGAATATGTTAAAATAATACACATATTGTTTTCATCAGTGGCTTATTCTTAAAAAGCTTTTGGATTACGTATTTCCACTTCTTTTGCAAGGAAACATTGAGGTGAGAAGTCTGTAGGTACTCTTTTGCCAATAGTACATGAGTTTAACAGTATTTTTAAGCCAGCTAATAAAAATTTTCTTTATCTATTTTAAAGTGTGTTAGATGTGTAAATAAATTCACATATTCTTCCAATATGTAGTTACGTTTAATTTTTATATAGTTCTTTAATTGTTCTATGATTAATGGGCTACTGAAAAATTAATCTTTTTTAATGGCCTTATAGGGAAGGATTTAGATATACTCACCCATTATGTATATATACCACCTTTTATTCATATGACAGAAATGGCTAGTTTTTGGCGTAGAAAACATTATACTTTTTCTTTGCCAATAAATAGTGTCAATTTGTTAAAAAAAATAAAATCTATGCATGACTCTAAATAGCAATTAGGTATCTTCCTATGAATATCCCTCAAGTACCTTAAGCTGAACATCTCTTTTACAAATAATTTATTTCTTTATTGCTAAACATGGGTTATAAATTTTGCCTGTACTTTGGATTCCAGATGAAAACATGAGACTATACATAGACTTCCAGCACTTTTTACCTTAAACTTCCTCAAAATTAATGAGAAACGCAGAAAGCTAAATCTGTATTATGACTAGAATTTTACAAAATAACTTCCATACAAATGCTTAAAATTTTGAGGCAATTCTGTAAGCTATAATAGAAGGAAGAAAGAGAGACTGGAATTTCCATTATGCAAAGGAAATGCTAAAATTGGGAGCAACTGAAGGAGTTCCTGGAGGATATATCCTCAGATCTCATATTCAGAGAAGCAAGTAAGCTCAAACAAACAAACAAGACAAAACAGCATTGATCCTAATGGAACAGGGTTTAAATGTAGCAAGCAAATTCTTTAACACCTCCCATTGAGATTTGGGACTCTATGAGATCTCTTTAATCAGAGTAGGCTTCTGATAGCTTTGACCAATACAGCACTTTAAAAGTGACTCAATGTGTCTTCTAAGGTTTTAAAAATGACTAAAAGACCATAAATTTTATCTTCTTCAATAGGACATTCACTACTAGAACCCTGAGACTTCATGTAAGGAGCCTTCTACCCTAAGAATACCATGCTGAGGAAGCTATGTCTGGTCAACACTTCAGTTGAGTTCTGCCTTCAACCATCCCTGTAAAGACACAAGACATGTGACTGAAGCCAATGATCCCATCCAGCTCTTTTGCCAGGACAATGTCATGGAATCACCTTCCTCAAAGCCACCTTGAGCAGAAAAAACACACAGCCAAACTCTCTGAGTGCTTGACCCAGGAAATTGAGAGATATGTTAAAATGACTGATATTTTAAGCCACTAAGTTTTGGGATAGTTCGTTATGTAACAACAGATGACTGGAACAGAATTTGAAAACAGAAGTGGTAAAACCAAAGGTATAACATGTGGCATGGATGAAGGGAACAGGCAATGGATGAAAGCATAACAGTCTTCAATCTGACTATTGGATATCAGAGGGCTTAATGTAACATGAGGAACATATGAAACTGTAAAAAAATATATCCTTGTTACATATTGGAAGAAAGTTTGGCAACACTGTCACCTAAAACAACAGGGAAAATAGGAAATATACCTAATGAATTAAATAATCTAGCTAAGGAAATTTTCAGGGAAGTGTTAGAGATGCCATCTGATCTCTACTAGGTACCTATAATAAAATTAAAAGGGAGCACAATGAGCCAAAAAAAAGGAAACTGTTCAATATTTGAATAAAATTTGGAGGAAATGTAAAAGGCCCAGGACTATCTTTCCAGGAAAGACAATATTTTCAAAGAGATAACCTGGAAAAGATCAAATTCAGAACACTGCAAATAAAACACAGGCTGAAGGAATCCAAGTTCTGCCTATAAAATCTTTTCATAAGATGGCACACAGATTTAAGTCAGAGCCTCAAACACACTTTAATTTACATAGAAAGCTAAGAACATTAAGAGTATACCTTAGATCCTCTTAGCTAGACAGTAGTGCTTCTAAGACAACTAAAGATGCTTCCCACAGCAGCCTCATAGGGTAGGGAGCCAAGATACAGATTTATCTTAAAACGTGTGTGTGCATTTGCATAATAGAGTTTATTTATAAACTGATACAGGAGAGATCTCAAAACTTTTCAAAGAAAGTGTATCAACCTTGACTAAAATGGATAGGGACAATAAAAAGTGTACAGACTTCAGAAACCCCAAATTTCTATGGGCACAGAGCAGGCTGATAATGTTACTTAGCTGCAAAACTGGCTATGTTTTAGGAAAAGGATTGCTCAAAGGGCAGAACCAAGAATTGCAGAGAATTATTGACAGAGAGCAGGACCAAGTTTCATTCATGAAAGACAATATGCCCAGAGCTGAATTTAAGAATTGCTTTACTAGTGACTGACACATGCCTCCCATTTACCCTCTTTATCCATGGGAGTGTCTAGTGTGTACCATCACAGTACCATGCATGTGTGTGCCTTGGGGGAGCAAGGCATTGTTTCTGAAGTTCACAGTTCTTCAAAATACATAGAATTGTGCCCAAGGAAATGAACTCAAAGAGGTTTATTTGCCCTTGGACATGATTTCAGATGAGATTCTAAACCTCCAGCCTGAGCCCGATGCTGTAACAGGATGAAGCTTCTGGAAGCTGAGTCTTAGGAGAGGGTGAATATAATTTGCTTTTTAGAGAAATGTAAATATAAGTGTCCCAAAAGCAGACCATGGTAGTTTTAAACATAAATGCAAACTCTTTACTACTTCTCTCATTAAGAGGTGGAGCCTAAGTACTCTCCCCTGGAACTGAGTTAGGCTACTGAATACTTCAACCAATAGAATATACCAGACATGATGCTAAGTGACTTTTGAGTGTAGCTCATGAAAGTCCATGCAGTTTCTGCTTCGTTCAATGCTTTAGGGGCCACCTGTAAGCACTCTAGTTGACAGTTCCAGCTGAGCCTGGCCTTCTAGCTATTCCCACCAAGATATGTCAGTGAAGCCATTTTGGATGTCCATGAATAGAGAATAATATTTGAGTATATGGAAAAACTTAAATATTAAAAACAAGGGGAATAACTTCTGTGGCTCTATTGAATGACCTTGTTTTGGATAAATTTTTCTCCTGAGAACAACTAGAAATTTGCATAAATTTATTATCCAGAGTTCAACATTCAGTGCCAATTAATCAATTACTTCCATTGGCAAATGCCAATCAATTTAACTGAGAGGCTAAGAAACTAAGAAGCTGAACAGAAATTTGTAGACAACACCTACATCCATCCATATAGAAAAATTTGATGATGCATAAAACAAAACTGTAAAATTTCAAAACATAAAGTTTCTGGAAAAAAATAGGAAAATACTGCTGTGATATTGGGGTTGGACTGAAATGACACAAAAGCACAAGTAATACAAAAAAGATGAATCTGACTGAAACAAAGTTAAAAATTTCTCTCCATAGAAAGACACCAAGTAAGAAAATGAATAAACAATTCAGACAGTGGGAAAAAATATTTGCAGCAGCACATATATCTGACAAAGAACTTGTATTTGGAATAAAGAACTACTACAAAATACCAAGAAAATAGCTCCCAAATTCAGTGTAAAAATTGGATACAGGCTGGGCGCAGCAGCTCTCGCCTGTAACCCGAGCACTTTGGGAGGCCAAGGCAGGTGGATCACCTGAAATTAGGAGTTTGAGACCAGCCTGACCAACAGGGTGAAACCCTGTCTCTACTAAAAATACAAAAATTAACCAGGCTTGGCACATGCCTGTAATCCCAGCTACTTGGGAGGCTGACACAGGAGAATTGCTTGAACCTGGGAGGCGGAGGTTGCAGTGAGCCGATATCATGCTATTGTACTCCAGCCTGGGTAACAAGAGCAAAACTCCATCTCAATAAATAAATAAATAAATTGGATACAAGACTCAGACACTTGACAACAAAAAAGTATTTAATTCGCTAAGGGAAACAAAAAATTATACTCAACATTATTAGTCACCAAGACTAAGCAAAAGAAAAGCACAAGATACTACTTCAAACACTATAATAGCTAAAAATCCGAATGTTGGTGAGGATGTGGAACAACTGGCACTCTTCTTCTTTTGCTGGTGATAATGTAAATGATACAACCATTTTGGTGGACTGTTGACAGTTTTTGATACATTAAACATAAATCTACCTTATAACCCAGCACTTCTGCTCTGAGGTATTTACTCAAGAGAAATGAAAACATATGGCTACACAAAGATTTACACAAGAATGTTTACAGTAGCCTGATTCACAATTGCCAAACACTAGAACAACCCAAATGTCCACGAACAAGATAATGGAGAAGCTAATTGTGGTTTAGCCACAATGGAATGCTATTGAGCAATAAAAAATAATTCTGTATGGATATTCTTTGTTTCATAAACTTCACTTCTAGCAATTACACAGGAAATGAATTAACCATAAGATAGTAATTGCAGCATGATTATAATAGTAAAAAATGGAATCAATTAAAGTTTCTCAAATTAGGACAAAGGTTAAATTAACTGTGGCTTATACATAAAATGGAAAAATATTGGGACTATAGAATTTATTTTTATGAAAACTGGTCACAATACATTAATTGAACAAATCAGCCTGTGGTATAATATGTACAATACGTTATAGACAATGAGTACATGCCTACATGCACTCATACTTACAACAGTGTTTATGTATTTGTATAAATGTGTACCATGGAGTAGGTAGCTTAAACACAAATTTATTTATCCCAGTTCTGGAGGCTGAGAAATTCAAGATCAAGATGCTGGCAGACTCAGGGTCTAGCAAGTGCACTCTTCCTGACTTGCTGAAAGCAATCTCCTCATTGTATCCTCACATGGAGAGAAGGTTGGAGAAAAAGCAAGATTGCTACTGTCTCTTCTTATAAGGGCACTAATCCCATCAAGAGGGCTCCACCCTCATGACCTAATGCCCCAAATACGATCACATTGAGAATTAAGGTTCCAACTTATGAATTTTGAGAGCATACAAACATTCAGTCTATAGCAGCATGTGTGTCCCCAGCATGTGCATTAAGTGTGTGTGCACTTATGGAGAGACTATGTGGTGGGGATGTTGAAGAGTTGTGTTGAAATAATGTTTGGAAGCTTCTTCTTCAGTGACATTGCTGAATCTTATTCTGTTTTGTTGTTGTTGTTTGTTTGTTTTTGAGACAGAGTCTCGCTCTGTCACTCAGGCTGGAGTGTAGTGGCACAATCTTGGCTCACTACAACGTCTGCCTCCCAGGCTCAAGAGATTCTCTTGCCTCAGCCTCCTGAGGAGCTGGGATACGTGCCATCACACCCAGCTAATTTTTTTAAGTATTTTTAGTGGAGACGGGGTTTCGCCATGTTGGTCAGACTGGTCGTGAACTCCTGACCTCAAGTGATCCTCCCGCCTCGGCATCCCAAAGTGCTGAAATTACAGATGTGAGCCACCTTACCCGGCCTTATTTTGTTTTTAACAGATGTTAATTGCCAATATCATTAAAACAGACCATAAGCCAATAAAAATTCAGTATTCAAGTCAAATAAAATATATGCTTAATTATATGCGTCTCATATTTACTAAATCACAAATTTTTGTTAGATTTTTTAATAATCGATGCACAATTATCATTTCTTCTAAATCTGAGGTGAAGCCAACCCATATTACTTTCTGTTTAGAAATACCCAGAGTGAAGAAAAAGCTACAAATTTTGTTCTTATTGGCTTGTGATACTATGTAGCTAAATGATGACTCTACAACACCATGCCCCAGACTCTCCTACCTCTAGCAGATGGAAGGTATTTCCACTGATCGAAGTCTCCTTAGAATAATTTTTAACACATTTTCTCTCTATATTACACTTGGCAAACTTTTTCCGTAAATATCCAGATAGTAAGTATTTTGGCTTTATGGCTTGTCGGTCTCTATCACGGCTTAAAAATATACTGTTGTGAAAGTAACCACAAACACTGTATAAATAAAAACTGTGGCTGTGTTCTAATGAAACTTTATTTTATTTACAAAAATAGGCAAGGGGCCAGATTTGGCATGCAGGCCATAGTTTGCTGACCCCTGCCCAACATAATATAAATAATTATAACAATGATATAAAACATAATGAAATCAGGAATAAATAGACTAGAAAGGGCATGGACAAGGATTAATACATTAGATTCTATACTTTGAATATTCATCATATAAACGTGAGATATTTTAACAAAATACTAGTAACAGTTTTTGTCTTTTTAAAAAACTTTTATTTAAGTTCAGGATATATGTGCTGATTTGTTATACAGCTAAACTTATGTCATGGGTGTTTGCTGTACAGATTATTTCAGAACCCAGGTACTCAAGCCTAGTACCCATTAGCTGTTTTCCTGATCTTCTCCCTCTTCCCACCCTCCGCCTTCCAACAGGCCTCTGTGTCTGTTGTTCCCCTCTATGTGTTCATGTGTTCTCATCATTTACCTCCCACTTGTAAGTGAGAACATCCAGCATTTGGTTTTCTGTTCCTATGTTAGTTTGCTAAGATTATATTAACGTAAACCTTCTAGTGGACAGTATTGAAATAGTTAAGTAAAAGAGGAATCTTGTAGTGAAGAATTACATTTGAATTACTTTCTTAAATATAGATACATGTCTTTGGAAAGAGAATTTGCTGAGATAATTTGCCAGTGGCAATTACTGGAGAATTAAACTGATGGATTGGGTGACCATATAATTTATCATTCAAATTGAGAAAGCTGGGGAAGCAAAAGCAAAGCTACGTTATTAAAATATATACTTTTTGAAAGATGTATGTGTTGACTAACAAGTTTGTTTCATATTTTTAGACCTATAAAATAGTTATATTCAAAAACTACTTTCAAAAAGTGAATAAAATATCTTCTAAAAATAAAATCATATACACACGTTCATTTAAGCACATTTGTTTCTGTTAATTACCTGAATATTTAAAAATAGCATAAAAAGAATAATTGTTCGTACTTCATATGTCTCTCATATCATGCCCTGGGTCTTTTTCCGAAGTGTGCATTTTTCAAAATAATCTTATGAAATAGTAAGATTATAATAGTAAAATTTTATTACGTTGAAAGAATTATTTATATAATAATTATATAATGTTATCAGCACATTTTCTTGTAATTTTTTCAAATTTGCATTTTACAGTGAATAAATATGAAATTGTGAAAAATTTTAATTGACCTTCTCTGTAGACTTTAATGCTTTTAAATAAAAAATGACACTCCAAGTTCCAAGGTAAGTAGAATAAACTCTGTGACATGGAGAGTATCCTCATTTCTAATGTTTTCATGTCAAACTTTGTAAATACTTAAGCCCAATATACTTGTAGGTACTGACTAGCTTTTTGTCTCCATTCCAAGCACCTTTCTTCACAAGCATTTGTACAAAATAAAAACCTTCAAATGTCTTCTCTAATTTTTATAAAACTTCCACCAAATATAAATGTTGAAAACTCATAGAACTATTCAAACTCAATCCTTTCCAGTACAGGATATAAATTTATTCAATTGGAAATAGGAGCTCCATCAAAAAAAATTTCCCACAATTTGAGATTTTTTTTTTTTTTTTTGAAACATCGTCTTACTCTGTCACCCAGGCTGAGTGCAGTAGCACCATCACTGCTCACTGCAACTTTGACCTGGGCTCAAGTGATCCTCCTGCCTCAGCTTCCTGAGTAGCTGGGACCACAGGCATACACCAACACACGAGCTAATTTTTTCTGTTTGTATTTTTTGTAGAGATGGGGGTCCCACTATATTGCCGAGGCTGGTCTCAAACTCCTGGACTCAAATGATCCTCCTGCCTCAGCCTTCCAAAGTGCTGGGATTACAGGTGTGAGACATCATGACAGGCCTAATTTTTTTTTTTATTATACTTTAAGTTTTAGGGTAAATGTGCACAATGTGCAGGTTAGTTACATATGTATACATGTGACATGCTGGTGCGCTGCACCCACTAACTCGTCATCTAGCATTAGGTATATCTCCCAATGTTATCCCTCCCCCCTCCCCCGACCCCACAACAGTCCCCAGAGTGTGATGTTCCCCTTCCTGTGTCCATGTGATCTCACTGTTCAATTCCCACCTATGAGTGAGAATATGCGGTGTTTGGTTTTTTGTTCTTGCGATAGTTTACTGAGAATGATGATTTCCAATTTCATCCATGTTCCTACAAAGGACATGAACTCATCATTTTTCATGGCTGCATAGTATTCCATGGTGTATATGTGCCACATTTTCTTAATCCAATCTATCATTGTTGGACGTTTGGGTTGGTTCCAAGTCTTTGCTATTGTGAATAGTGCCGCAATAAACATACCTGTGCGTGTGTCTTTATAGCAGCATGACTTATAGTCCTTTGGGTATATACCCAGTAATGGGATGGCTGGGTCAAATGGTATTTCCAGTTCTAGATCCCTGAGGAATCGCCACACTGACTTCCACAATGGTTGAACTAGTTTACAGTCCCACCAACAGTGTAAAAGTGCTCCTATTTCTCCACATCCTCTCCAGCACCTGTTGTTTCCTGACTTTTTAATGATTGCCATTCTAACTGGTGTGAGATGATATCTCATTGTGGTTTTGATTTGCATTTCTCTGATGGCCAGTGATGGTGAGCATTTTTTCATGTGTTTTTTGGCTGCATAAATGTCTTCTTTTGAGAAGTGTCTGTTCATGTCCTTCGTCCACTTTTTGATGGGGTTTTTTCTTGTAAATTTGTTTGAGTTCATTGTAGATTCTGGATATTAGCCCTTTGTCAGATGAGTAGGTTGCAAAAATTTTCTCCCATTTTGTGGGTTGCCTGTTCACTCTGATGGTGGTTTCCTTTGCTGTGCAGAAGCTCTTTAGTTTAATTAGATCCCAATTTTGGCTTTTGTTGCCATTGCTTTTGGTGTTTTAGACATGAAGTCCTTGTCTGTGCCTATGTTCTGAATGGTAATGCCTAGGTTTTCTTCTACCTAATTTGAGATATTTTAAAGTGCAGCTATAAAATTTCAAACTTAAATATTGTAAACCATTTAAGAAATAATATTTAATTTGTTCCAATCATCCCCTGCTTTTATGGGGATGTACTGCAATGGTTTCCTTTTCATAAGTTTTGTTTTGAACACTTGCAATTTGCTAAAAGCATTAAAAGCTAACGTGTTTTGGTACTCCATTCATTCATAAATGCATTGATTAAATATGTCCACTGATTTTGAATAAAATGTAACAAAAATTTTAGATGACTCATTTTCAAAAATAACTCAATATCATGGTAGGGCATTTAGATTTGTTTCCAAAGTCTTCAGAGTCTACAACATTTCTAATATCTGATTGATGGTGAGCAGCAAAGATGAAAAGCACATCTGCCAGCTAAAACTATTTTTTGCTGGTATTCAAGGAAGCTTCCCAGATAAACATTTTATATTCAGTTACTGAAAACTGTTATATATTTAAAAGTGTAGAAATTTTGACAAGTATTGTTTCCATTACCATTAATAGAATAGAAGCAATAATACATTATGTGCTCACCACAATGAATACCAAGCACATCTCTCCAAGGTCACTCAATTTAGTAACTATGTTGTTTCCCTGTGATTCTGCGTTCCTCCATTCATGGTAATGCAGCAAAACCAAATAAAACCCAAATTTGTAGTAAGGCAGCAAAACCAAATTATTTTATTTTTAGTCTTGAAGCTTTTAACTGAATTTTATAAGCATCCACTGTAATATCAGATATTTCACATGTGACAGACCGAACATCAAAAGCATTTACTTTGCATTCGTAAACTGGATAGAAAAAAAGATGGATCCAGTTTTGGAATTAACTAGTTTTCTCTTTGAAGGATCCAAACATATTAATATAAGCCTGGCATCACTTAATAACTGGAAACATTCTTCTGTGAATGCAGCGAATATATTCACAGCTACTGCTTCAGTTTTCATACATGCATAGGAAAATCTGGAACTAAAAAGTGAATTGAAGCCTTCATAAACGGTCATTGCATCTAAATGATAAACGATATTTCACGAAGTGATATGTGAAAATATCAGTTGCAGCTGCAAATTAAATCACAGTCATCAGGCACATTCTTAATATTACTATCATAAGAAGATGCTGATGCTTCCTCAGCATGTTTGTCTTTTGTTTCTGTGTGGTCACTGATATCACTGTGGTCTCCATGGCACACAGTAATTGCAAACAAATATTTTGTGTAAATTACATGTTCTCCATCAACGTTTTAGAAAAGCAGAAGTACTAAATTATTATAAGCATGCACTGTTAGTTTTTTAGTTCATTGTATTCAAATTCAACTATATTGCTATTCTCATGGAAAAAATAAACAGCCAAACAATAAAATATATATCTGTATATTTTTCCATATAGTAAATATCAACATCGCTATAGCAATAATGTTCAGAACACTCAATATTCTCATCCTCCCTTTCCTACATGTATTTCACATACATTTAATCAATAATTGTCCATGTTAACCACTGACTCTTCCAACTGGTGATCTGCCCACTTCATGTGTCTTACAGGCCATGGCCTGGCCACAACTGTCCAGCACATCAAGTAAGGGGAATACTGAATTCTTCTCCTGGCAACATGAAGAAATGACTTAGCAGTCCCTAGCTATTCTTGAGAGGTGTTCGTTACCAGATAAATAAAAAAAAATTAAAAACATAAAAACAGGTCATAACTGAGTATTTCGTCTTATTTTGCTTTGTTTCTAAGATTTAATCATGTGACAAAATGAAACTCTGATCACTCTGCATAACAGAAACTGGAAGGTCAAAGTGAGTGCCCATAAAAGCTTAGGAGGTACACTTTCCTAACAGTTGAAAATTGGAATTAAAGAAATAATAGCATTTACAATAGCATCGAAACATAAAATACTTACGAATAAATGGGTCAGAATATATGCAAGAACTATACACTGAAATCTACAAAGTATTGCTGATAAATATTAAAGAAGACCTAAGTAAATGCATTAAAAAGCCATGTTGATGGATTAGAAAATTTGTTATTGGTAAAACGTCAATACTTTCAAAGTGGGTCTATAGAGTCACTGCAATCTCAATCAGAATGTCAGCAGATTCTTTGCAGAAATTGAGGAGTTGATTCTAAAATTAATATGGAAAGACAAAGGACTTTTAGAAATCCAAACAATTTTGAAAGTAAAGAACAAAGCTGAAGAACTTACAAGAATAGAGTTCAAGACATTCTAGTAAGCAATAGTAATCAAAACAGTGTCTTACTGGACACCAAATCAAGGAACAGAATAGAGAAAAACACATACACATATGCAAATGGTTTCCAACAAATTTGTTAAGAAAATTCCATAGAAAATGTATAGTCCTTATTTTTTCAGCTTTATTGAGGTATAATTGAGAAATATTGTATATATTCAAAATACGCTATGTACTATTTTGGCATACATATATACATTTTGAAATGATGACCACAATCAAGCTAGCTAACATATCCATCACCTCACATAGTTACCTTGTGTGGGGGTGGTAAGAATGCTGAAGATTAACTCAGTTATCAAGGAAACATAGTCTTTAAACAGAAGCTCCAGTCTTATTTCACACTGTATATAAAAATTAATTCAAATGGAAGAATCATAGACTTAAACGCAAGAGTTAGGACTATAAAACTTCCATAAGAAAATTTAGGAGAAAATTTTTGTGATGGTGGGTTAGGCAAATATTATTTAGCTATGACACAAAAAGCATAGACTATAAAATTAAAAATAGGTAAATTAGTCATTATCAAAATTGAAAACTTCTGTTGTGTAAAAAAAAAAAAAAAAAAGAAGAAAAGACAGAGAAACGGAATGAAGAAACTGTCTGGTAAAAAGGCTTTATCCAGAATATAAAAAGAACTCTTACAATGCAATAATAAAAGAAACAACCAGATTTTACAAATGGGCAAAGAATTTGAACACACACTTAGCCAAAGAATATATATAGATGGAACACAGCTCAACATCATTAGTCATTAGGTAAATACAAATTAAAACTACAATGAGATACCACTACATGCCCAGAAGAATGCCTAAAATCTGGAACAAGATAGAGAAGAAATATTCACTATACCAACTGCTAGCGAGGATGCAAAGGAAATAACATTCTCATCCACTACTGCTGAGAAAGCAAAATGGTACAACAACTTAAGAAAACAGTTTGACCCAGCATATAACCTAGCAATTCCAATTCCAGGTATTTACCCAAGAAAAGTGAAAACATATAACCGCAACAAGAGGTGAACACAATTGGTTAGAGCTACTCTTTTTTATAATTGCTGGAAACTGGAAACAATCCACATGTGCTTCAGCTGGTGGCTGGATAAACAGATTGTGGTAGAAACGTATAGTGGAGTACTATTAAGCAATGAATAGGAATGAATTATTGGTATATGCAACACAAAGGTTTGATCTCAAAAGCATGAAGCTAAGTGAAAGGAGCCAGAAACAAAAAAGTATGTCATGTATGAATTTATTCATCTGACATTCTGAAAAAGACAAGGCTATTGGGTCAGAAAACAGACCAGTGATTGCCAGTGATTGGGGGTAAGAACAAAAGATTGACTGCAAAAGGGCAAAACAATAACATTCTGTGGAGATATAAATACTATATCTTGACTGTTGTAGTAATTATACAACTGTATAATGGCAAAAGTCCTGGAACTGAACACTTTTATAGGGTAAATTTTATTGTATGTAAATTTTACCTCAATAAGCCTGACTTTTAAAGAATAAGAAGAAGGAAACCTTGACTGAACTATCTTCTCTTTTTGGAATGTTCCCTGCCTCCATTCTTTTCAGCCTGGTGTATCATTCCTTTCTCCTTTTTTTCACCAAACTTGACGGGCCTCCATCCTTGCGCTTGGCACACTTGGTTAAACTCACTGATGTTCCGTCTGTTCTCCCATGAGACTGGGCTCCTTTGAGGAGTATTTTCCCTCCCCAAAGCTATTTCCTCATGCTTAAAGTCACATCTAACATAAAATATAATCTATAACTGTTGGGAGAGGGGAAAAATAAGGAACGAAACGAGGGGGAAAGATACTCTTTTTGTTACTATTTTCTCTACCAACCATTCCTTGAGAGGAAAAAAAGGTTTCTTCTATCATCCTTAAGATACTAAAGCTAATCTTAATTATAAAAATATACTGGATATATGCCTTAAAATGAACCCAGGATTTTGGTTTTATTCAGTTCTAGTGAAGCCAAGAGATCAGGAGATGATTCCCACGAAAAAGATGGTTTATTACTAACTGTCCCCAAGAGGATGAGGCATGCACCGTTGCACAGGGCCACAGGAAGAGGCACCAGCCTCAGTCAGGAGGCAAAATAGGGAGGAAACTGAGGGTAAAAGCCTGTATTGTGGGTTTGAGGAAAAGAAGTGGGCAAGGCAGGCTAAGCAGCTGAGCAGGTCACCAGATAGTGTGAATAACTGTGTCAAGCTCTGGGATACAGGAGTGGTCTCTAGTAGTCTGGTACTTGGCTCTGGGGTGATTTTTCACAGAGGAATAGTGTCCCCAACTGCAGGAGTCTGAAAAATGGAGCCAGGGAAAGGTATGAACACAGGATTGGCTGGTTTGCCCATCAAAGGTGTGCTCACCACCAAGTGTTGGCCATCTCTAGGAAATAGCTACCCCTGGGAGAGGCAGTTTCTCCCCCAGCCACTGAGGCCCCATATGCCAGAGCATTAAGACAGAGAATAAGAAAACACAGTCAATAAAATTTATATAATAACTTTCTTTTTTACATTAGAGTGTATTCAATCACCTTAGAATAAAATCAGGTGTGCCCTGCTCATTATATGGGTGTTAGCATTATTTTTAGTCTCTAAAATCGGTCTAACATCTTGCTAAATATCAAGTAAAAAATAGCTTAGATGATGTGCTAAGGCATATTCCTCTATATTCTGCAATAAGCACTATATAAACATTGAGAGAAACATTTAATTTGTGTATGGAAAGATGGATTACACAGTCAACTTCTTTAACTTTTATTTCCTACTGTGAATCAACAGAAACTATGCTTTAGTGCCTCCCAGGATAAGTAACAGAAAATGCCACAGACAGAAACTCCTAAGTTATCTTCACCCTTGTTCTTTTATTTGAGACTATGTCCATGTTATTTCATTTAATAAAAGACACAGGGGCTGGGAAAACACAACAGTGTGTCTGTGCCTGTAAAGATATAGGAGAAATCAATTACAATGTCATAGAAAGCATTATATTTTCTTACAAACATTTTATTGAAAGTATTAGGAAAAGGCCACACTGTATTAGACTCCAAAATATATTTACCTTAAAGTAAACTTCACTATAATAGAAGAAAACCTTTATCACTATTCTAAAATCATCAGTGGGTTCTCATTTCTGATTTCTCTACTTTGTGTGTGATTTTAGCCTTACTCAGGGTTAAGGTGGGAATAACAATAATTAAGTTTAAGACCACCAAATGCTTTTATGACAGGGTTCTTAACTGCTGCATAAATACACAAAATAAAATATTTATTTAGGAAATTATGCTTTGTATCTCAAATGGCCTTTTTGAATTGCCCTCTCATTTCCAAGAATCTAAATAGAAACATTGGCTCACTTTAAAAAGAGTTTTTAAACATAACCTATGGTGACAATAATTTTAAACACCTAATATCTGATGTCTTACTATATGCTTACCCAATGTTCGACATACAATGTCTCATTTATTTTTCCAAACACTGCAAGAGGGATGTATGCATGCCATTCCCATTTGCAGATGTAGAAACTCAAGGACAGAAAGATTAAGAGACTCAGCTTGTAAGCAGTAACCCTGCAACTTAAATGAAGGGCTCTCTTACTCCCAAACCTATATTTTCACTCTAGTATGTCGTATCTCATGTATAAGCTGCTTGGTTGGAGTATTTTCCCCTAGAAACCACGTTATAGACAATATTTATGGTTCTACAAGTAACCACAAAGTACATTGCATTTGTATAAAAGTACCAATACTATTACACAAAATCTGACTATAATGTGTATGGTTGTTACTTTGAGACAATACATGCCAAAGCTTTTCTACTTGGCATAGCAGGAATCGATTTTCTATTTATGTAGCTGGATAACGGAATATATTTACTTTTCCCTTGTGCCCTATTAAACCTGAATACAGCTGATTATGTGGGGCTTTGTGATATAATAAGAGAGCAAAATAAGAATCATTTCACCATAGAGGAGACAGAAGTAGGTGGTTCCAGAAAGGCTGAAATAACTATAATGAGTATGGTGGAAGACAAAAACCTGTTCCATGTCTGTTTTTGAGAGAATACATTTCCATCATACATTATGCATCTATAGTTTCAAAGCTCTTCCTAGACTTTTTAAAGATATTACCTCTAATCATCACAGCATCTTTGTAAGGTAGATATGAATGTTCTTATTTTATAGCTTAAGCTTAGTTAAAACTAAAAGTGGTTCACACAGCCAGGGAAGGGGCAGAACCAGGCCCTAAAATTCTGATGTAACTAGCTCCAAAGGCTCCAAGATTGTGTGATTATTGGTGAGGGAAAGGTCTCTGAGAAGGCCAGTAAACTGAAAGTCAAGGTTGTTCCATGGTCATATTTTATTTGGTGCACCAAGTGTTTTAGGGAATTTTAAATTTACGTTCCTCTGCCCACCAATATTTTACAATTCTCCGACATACTATATTTTATACTCAGCTTCCAACAGAGGTACATCAATTGCATGGCTCTTGAAAGACATTAAGAAGTCTGGTGAAAGATGATTATGATGATAGCAGGACATTATACAGAAGCACTTCACTATATGCTGTACACATGTCCCATTTAATACTAACAACCATCCAATCTATTAGACATGTTTATTCCCATTTCACAGATAAGGAAATTGATTAATTTGCCTAAGCCAACACAATTCCCTGATGGTAGAGCTGAGATTTAATTCCAAATCGAAATTATCCAAATGGTACGTTCCTAACTTCTAGGCTAAATTGCTTCTACTAGAGAACTAGGTTGTAAACGTTTTGATTATAAACAACTCCCAAGCAATAGCTAAAAAACATCAGAACATCCTCCAAGAACTAGCAAGGAAAGCTGATTAATTTGTTCTTCATCAGCAGACTCTTACACTTCCTTTAAAAAAGAATCAGTCAAAATTTCAATTCAGCCCAATTTCAAACACCTTATATTGAGAAAACCTTCACCATAGGCGGTTAGCTTAATTGTCCAGAGGATTTGAGACTAAATAGTCTGTCCTTTGATTTCACTCTTGAATCAATGGCCCTCATGTTCTTCTGTCACTGTGAAGACGATGGCTTCTCATCTCTAGACAGCAGAAGAGTGGGTTTGCAAGAAAGAGAAGCTCGCTGATGTATTAAAGAGAACTATAACCTCTGCAGAGGATTGATGGTGGCTTCAAGAGAATGTGCTCTCCCATCCACTCACAAGTGTAATTTAAAGAGGATTTTTCAAGGCGTGGATAGACACCATTACTCACATCAATTCCCACTGCTTTCTCTCTATATAACTCTTTACCAATTCTGGTCCACAGCTACTCTGCCCTGTTTAATCAACAGCGGGAATTTGAGAAGTATTCTCCAGCCTTCCCAAATGAATTTCTCATCATGCAAATTGAATGAAGTGGTGAAAATGATAAATATGTCTACAGTGTAACAGATTTGTTTCAAGCTGTATGATCTGCCTAAGGGTAAAAGGAACTTCCCAAACAAACTATGTCAACTCCAGATTTGAAATGATCTATTTTGACCAGGAACTTACCCTCAGTTTTTTTCTTCTATGAATTTTTTCCTAAGAGAGTTTTTGTCTGCAAAATTTTACAATATTGAGGTCAATTCTCTACTTTGACAACAAAGATATAAATAAGTTCAAGGATGTAAATGTATTCCTGACAAAGATTTCATAAACCAGAATGCGTTTGTGATTCATGATGTCTTCCTAACCCTTTCCCCATACGACAATTGTGGTAGACAGAGTACTATACCCCCAAACGTGTCCACCTCCTAATCCCTAGAACCTGGAAATGTGTTATGTTATATGTTAAGGCTTCAAGTGGAATTAAGGTTGCCAATTAGGCGACCTTGAGAAAGAGAGATTATCCTGGAATATCTGGGTGGGCCCAGTGTAATCACAAGAGTCCTTGTAAGTGAAAGACAGAGGCAGGATATTGAGTGTAAGAGAAATCTGATGCTAGTAAGGAAGGGGCCATAGACCCAGCGTGGTGGACAGTCTCTAGAAGCTGGAAAGGGCAAGAAGATAGGTTCCCACCTAGAGCCTCTAGAAGCCAGTGCAGCCCTGTCAACACCTTAATTTCACCAAGTGAGACCCTTTTAAGATTTTTGGCCTTCAGAAGCATACCATAATACATATACATTTTCTTTTTTTGAGACAGAGTCTCGCTCTGTCACTCAGGCTGGAGTGCAGTGGCATGATCTTGGCTCACTGCAACCTCCCCTTCCCAGGTTCAAGCAATTCTCCTGCCTCAGCCTCCTGAGTAGCTGGTACTACAGGCACCTGCCACCATGTCCGGCTAATTTTTTTTGGATTTTTAGTAGAGATGGGGTTTCACCATATTGCCCAGGCTGGTCTTGAACTCCTGACCTTGTGATATGCCCGCCTCGGTCTCCCAAAGTGTACATATGCATTTTTAAGCCACTAAGTTTGAATGAATTTGTTAGAGCAGCAAAGGGAAACTTAATACACATAATGGTGCCTGGAAGGGATGTGATGCTACATAAAATACCTAAAAATGTGGAAGTGTTTTCAGAAGTGGGAATTGGGAACAGGATGAGAGAAATTTGAGGAACATGATAGAAAAAGCTGATATTGCCTTGAATAAAGTGTTAGTAGAAACATGGATGGTAATGACTCTGCCAGTGAAGACACAAGGAAGTGATGAGAATGGTAGAGAAAATATATATCGTTTCAGAGAATACCTAGTCACAGACTGTCAGTAATGAAGCAGTTAGTATTACACACTGTTTAATTCTGCCAGACTTGGGAGATAAATCTGATATATGATTGGCCCTATCTTCATGTTTAGCATCTGCAGATTTAATCAACCACAGACAAAAATATTCTTAAAAAACAAAAAAAAAAACAATAATAATGTTACAAATAATAAAACAACATAGTTAGTATAACTATTTACATAGCATTACGTTGTATTAGGTATTATAAGTAATCTGGAGATGATTTAAAGCGGGGGTGTCCAATCTTTTGGCTTCCCTGGGCCACACTGTAAGAAGAATTGTCCTGGGCCACATATAAAATTCACTAACACTAATGATAACTAATGAACTAAAAAATAAAATAATGAGCTAAAAAAAAAATAGAAAAAAAATCACACAAAAAAACTCAAAATGGTTTAAGAAAGTTTACGAATTTGTGTTGGGCCTCATTCAAACCCCTCCTGGGCCACATGTGAACCATAGGCCACGAGTTGGAAAAGCTTGATTTGAAGTATACTGGATACGTACATGGTTTATAAGTAAATACTATGTCATTTTATAGAAGAGACTTGAGCATCTGAGGATTTTGATATGGGGGTTTCCAGAATGAATTTCTCAAGAATACCCAGGGACCACTGTATACTTTATGTATATAACTTCCTTATTTGTTTTCAGAATTTTTGAGAGACCAAAATCAGTTTGGGTGAAAACACAGGAAATAGAAGGTAAAAAAAAAAAAAAAAAAAAAGAAGAAGAAGAAGAAGAAAAGAAACCCGTTCCCAGGGTAAGTAACCGCAGGCATAATTTTTTTTTTTTAAAGAAAATATGTTGCCTTATAGAACTCAAACTACTATTGAACAGAAGACCTTGCCCAGGCTCCAAACCCAGATGGGTTTAACTGTGAAGGCTGAGATAGATACTTGGGAGAGTAGAACTACTCTGTATATTTATGGGTAAAATTACGCTGGGAGTCTGGGGACCTCAGAGAAATGGATTAGCAAGGTGGGGTACTGCATAAGCAGAGAGAGGTGGTAAGAACTTTAAATTCTGAGCTTATCCATTCCTAAGTGAAATAAGTCATTCTGCAAAGGGTACAGACCATATGATTCCAACAACATGTTTTAGAAAAAGGTAAAACTTTCAGAATCAATTAAGGTTCAGTGGTTACTTGGGGTTATGGGAAGGGAGAAATGAATAGGTGGAGTAGACGGGGGGTTTAGGGCATTGAAACTACTCTACAGAGGCCAGATTATATGGAGAAACTGGAGTAAAAGAGAATAAAGCCCTGGGAATTAATCAAAAATCATGGGAAAACAAGAAACTCTCAGAACTTGGAACTGGTGACTACAAAGGAAGGAATGCCAATGGGTACAGTTGGACCAAGTTCATATCTGGAGACATATTGAAAGAAAATTGTACAAAGGTAAAGAGCATGGGTCCACTTTCCCCTCCTGAGGGTTCTTCAGGACCGTCGCCTGGCTTAGTGATGCTGCATCTCTGGGCAAAAGCTCACAGGCTCAGTGTCCAGAGCCCAGTGCTGCCTGAGGATAGAGTACGCCATGGAAGACAGGGATGGATCCCTACCTCCTGAACAGCTGTAGCTTGAGCTCACCATCCATGGGCCATTTTATTTGTTTTCTTCTTACTGTGTGCTGTGTAGCTCTTCCTTCTTTTTCTGTACTTCCTCCAAATGAAACCATTTGGGAAAGAGACAGAAATCAGGTAAGGGACCCCAGATCCAACCCCTCCAGAACACAGAGAGACTCTCGTGTTCTCTGTTCCTCCTCCCACTTTCCTGAATCACTTCTGTTGAACAGACTTCTGAGCTGAGTTCTCTCAGGAAAAAATAGGACATTTTCCTTTAAGAAAAGAGAGTCAGCAGCAGAAGCCTTCAGTCCAAGCTCACAGACTAATCTGGGGATGGTAGAGGACTCCGGGGTAAAATTTTAAAAACTGTGACTCTGTGTCCTTGGAACGGATTGTTGAGAGAGTGTAGGATTTGTCTGGGAGCACAGAGTCACACATCCCCCGTCACATGTCAGGTATCGCTGGGCCCAGCCCCTGTTTCACGGCTGATCTGAAGAGCAAAACCAAGTCTCTGGAAGCCTCTGATCAGATGCTAAAATCTGAGCTCTGTCTTCAGGGAACAGAGTCCTACCTGATGGGGCACATACACTCCTGTGGGCTAGACATTCCACACCTGTCCTCGGCAGAGGAACACTGACCAGAATCTCAATAGAAGATCATGCACAAAAAGCACTTCTTTGAGTTTTCCAAAAAGGGACAATGAAAAATGATTTTTACTCTCCTAAAAAGAGTAACAGGAAAGAAACACAGAGTTGTGTGAATTTCAGGGAGAAAGTTGCATTATTCAAGAATAATGGTGGACTGAGTTTTGTCTAAGGAGAAGAGCATGAGAACTGGGTCCCAGTCTCTGAGTCCTTCAGGGTCCAGGGGAGACAAGGGAAAGATGTCTTCACCTGACCCCATGCCCTCGCCCAGAATCACTCATCAACCTCAGATCCATGGAATCACCCCTTACCAGCAGCCCCTCCACTGCCCCGCTGAACCAACCACCTTGCTGCTGACTCAGCCTGGCCCCTTCCTTTTCTATGGAACTCTCCCAGGGATCTCATCTCCAGAGTTCCTGTCGGTGGCCTCTTCTGCCCCCACATTTGCAGGTCGGGAAGACTCATGTCTGCCCATCACAGCCTTCTCCTGGAGGCAGGGATCAGGCAGGGGTTTGTCCCTCCTCCTTCTCACACTGTGTTCTCCATGTAGAGTGTGCTTCTTTTCATCACTTACTGGCCTCTCTCTAGGGTTAAGCTGCAACCTGTCATGTGGTGGTTAGACATTTTTTTATCCTTCAACTTGTTGGTCATGAGCAGCTGGAGATGGGCAATAAAGAGGGTGCACATTCAGATGTGGTTGGAGAAGAGAAAGGATTATGTCCAGAACAACCGAGCAGGGCTATGAGGTGCATTCTGTGAACAACTTACCATTACTCGGCATTGGGCAGGACACCCCAGCCCCCATGCCTTCCAGGGGAGTGAGGACAAATCAGTGCAGTTCAACAGTTCATGGAGTCCACTGCTCCCAAAACAAGTCAAGACACCTCCAGAGAGCCAGTGACCATAGACGCTCCCAAAATGCAAATGGAGAATTGAGCAATCTAGGGCTCCAGGTGCTGAAGAATGATCTGTACCTTCGAGCCTGCTGAGACCTAAAGATCTGGCAAACCATACCTGAAGGACCATCTTGTAAGAGGGTCAAAGCTCCAACTGGAAGAAGATCTGCCAGCCCAGCCTCATTGTTTTGACATTGAAATGCCCTTGACCCAAATACTTTTTCTTCTTAGAACATTGAGTCCCAGGCCCAAAATATGTACAGAGGAGATCCATATTTTGTATCTTTGTATTTTGGCCACTTCCCAAGGTCACAACATCCACTAAGAGGACAGGATTGACCTGGGTCATTGGGAGCACAGGATCCCTAAGTCTCAGGTCCTAGGGACCAGGGCCAGAACACTGCCTTGACCCAAATGTAGAAAAAGAGAACCCTGAGTGATTTAATCAGAAGAGCAACCTGAAGTGGATTCAGGATTAAGACCCTCCCTCATTGTAGAGCTGTAACGGTGGAAACACAATATTAAATACTCATATTATGCATTTGTTAAAACCCACAGAACTATACAACACAAAGAGTGAATCTTAATGTAAAGAATAGGCTACAGTTAACAACAATGTATCAATATTGATTCATTAATTGTAACAAGTATATCACACTAATACAAAATGTTAATCTGTTAATCGTGGGGGAAACTGCATGTAAGTGACAGGGGGCTGGGAGAAAACTGGCAGGTGTGAGGGCTTGAGAGGGAATACAGGAGTTCTCTGTATCCTTGGTTTAAATTTTTTTAAACCTAAAGTTGCTCAAAAATCAAAATCTATTATTTTTAAAATAATATAGAGTATGTTCTCTAAGCACAATAAGATTAACTTAAAAATCAATAACAATTTAACTCAGAAAGATCCATCTTTTTAAAATTAAAGCACATACTTCTAAGTAATCTGGGTTAAAGAAGAACTCACAAAGAAAATTAGAAAGTATTATGCACTAAATGATTATAAAAATACAACATATCAAAATCTCCAGATTCAGCCAAAGTTGTGCTTAGAGGAAATGGTTAACTTTCAGCTTTAAATGCTGACCTAGGGTAGTACCTGAAGAACACTGAAAAGGAAAATAAAAAGTGAAGCAAAAAGAAGGAAGGAAATAAGAAGAACAAAGGTAAATGAAATTTTAAAATGAAAAACAATTCAGAAAATTAATAAGCCAAAGTTCATTTTATGTAAAGATCAATGAAACCAAGAAACACATTGCTGAACTAAAGAAAAAAAGAAGCAATACAAATCTGCAATATCATGAACACAAGAGAGTAACCAGTACAGTTCTTACTAACAATTAAAAAAGAAATTATCAACATTGTATGCCAACAAATTCAAATACTTAGAAAAAATGGAAAAATTTCTTGAAATATACAACTCACCAAATTCACACCATACAAGAAAAAGAAGACAGACACCTACCTCACACCATATACTAAGATTAATTCTAAATGAATTATATATTTAAATGTAAATGACAATGTAACTTACTTGTAGAAAATAATATAGCCAAATATCATCATGACTTCAAACAAAAAAATAAAATGAGACCTTCTGCTCATTGAAAGATATGGGTAAGTAAAAGTCAAGACGCATAATAAGAAAAGATATGTCTAACACAGATACCAAAAGACTACATCCAGAATAAATGAAATTTGCCAAAACACAGTAAGAGAAAGTTCATAAAAACTCGATAGAAAAATGGGCAGATGATTTTAGTGGGCACTGCACAAAAGGAATTCTCCAAAATGTCAATATAAATATAAAGTTTCTAGGCCTCATTAGTCATCAGGAAAATGCTAATTAAAATCAGAGCTAAATACCATTGCACAGGGTAAAAAGATGGACAATAAAGGTGAGCAAGAAAGTGAAATAATGGGACTCCTCCTGAGCTACTTTGAAGAAGTAAATTGTGCAACTTTGGTCTGGCAATTTCACTTCAGCGAATACCTGAAAGTAGCATTTATATGTCATCGTTCCAATCTGGAGACAACCAGAATGTTCATCAACAATGGAATGGACACAACATTTGGTTATGTTCATCCAATTCAATACTATACAGCAATAAAAATAAGTAAACTATAGCTACACGCAACTTGGATATTGAACACAGACTCACAAAGATTATTAAGGTAAAAGACCCTGACACAAAAGAATACATACTGTGTACCTGCCCACATAAAGCTAAGAGCCAATAAAGCTATACTATAGTGTTTAAGAATGGAGACTTAGGTATACAATTATAAGGAAAAGCAGAAAAGTAATTCCCATGAAAGTCAGTAACCTTTATTAAGAGGCCCTGAGAGGAGACAGAAAGGAGAGCTGAGACATGCAGGTAACATTCTATTTCCTGATCTAGGGAGTGGTCACACAGGTATTCATCTTTGTTTTATGTGCTTCTCTGAATGTGGGTTATAATTCACAACAAAAATAATGAAAAGAGAAGAAATTTGAAGCTGCAAGGAGGAAAACCACAGTGCTAAAAGTCCTCAGAATTATCGCAAGCAATTCTTTTTACATCTTAGCTACCTTTCTCTAGGACAACATACAAGCTCAAGCCATGAAATTTACTCCTGAAAGTAAACCATTACCATTAGGCATTATAATGCATTTGGAATTACTTTTCATAAATGTGCATGCATGTCTCTTTGACTCTCTTTAAAATATTTAATTCAGGGAGCATTCCAGACATGGAAACAGCAGAGCAGATTGCCAGCATTCCAAAATACATCACCATATCCCATTATCTCTGCGACACTGGCCTTGGCCATCTCAGTTATGGACCCATAACTGAATTAGGGAGGGAGGAAAAGAATGTTTTTAAAGTAGTAATTCTTCCACATATAGTGTGCATGAATAAGTCAATAATTGTAAACTAATGGAATCATGCTTATTTCTAGAAGTTACTGCAACTAATTCTTACACATTTCAGCAAATGAATATCACATGATCATTATTATCTCTGGTAGCAGTTTCAGGTGCCCAAAGAATAAAGCCAAAAATTTAGCCCTCTGATGAGACCTTTAGATCTATTTCCATGGTACAAGGGAATACAGTATCAGTATTCCATGTGTAAATAAGTTCAATTAACAACAAACTATAATTGCACGGGGAGATGAAAATTAGTTTAAACAAGTCAATTAAATCATAAACATTTCAGAAATAAGAGGATGTGTTTGTAATCCAATTAGTGTGTTAATATACTAATAAATTTACTGATTTGAATGGTATCTTAATTGTATATTAGGGCACCCGATGAAAAAACAGTATATCTTAATTGTCATAAAGGGAGCTTTGGCTGCAGTATGACTACATAAGTTTGGAGAAAATTATCCATGTTAATGAGATCAAAATGCTTCTATCTAGAATAATAAATAAGGTTACTTGATGGTTCGGCTAATAAAAATGCATCCAAGGGACAGGGGAAATGGCTGAACACAGTGTTGTCTGCCAGACGATAATTACACTAAGTTCCTGATGGGAGAGAATGGGATATTTTATACTATGACCAACAAAAATCACTCCCATAGTTTAAACACCCAGATAATCATGGGAATAAAATATTCCAGGGGTAATTCTTTATTACTACCTCAATTACCACAAATTAAGCTGATATTAATATACTTTACTGCTGCTCAGCCTTAAGTGAAATCAGTTGCACTTCACTGGTGACTCAAGAGAATGAGCCTCTCTCCTATTTCTGCGTAATTACCTGTAATTTATAGGGCACAGGGAGACCTGTGCAGCCTAGTCAAGGTCATGTTTAGAAGGTTGAATTGCATTGTTTTCAATCACCATCTGTATTCTGGACTGAGGTTGCCACCTCCCCAATTGCCACAAGACAAAGGGACACTTCCTTGGCACAGGGGTTGTAGTGCCAAATTTTCAGGCCAAGGGGCAGATTGATCATGAGCTTTATACAAAATGTGCATTTTAATGAGTACATGGCACTCCGATTAAAATGCTGAAATAGATAAATAATGGTTTTTAGTGCTAATTGCAACAATTTAAATCAATTAAAATGCCTGCAAAGAATGATGACTGGATGAATTCCAACTTACTTATGCAAACTTGGCCTGCTCCTCAAGCCTTCAGTTCCAGTGCTGGAGACATCTGTAGCAGCCTGTCCAGATCTCCCCAACTTAGCCAAACCTCCAGCAATTTGAAACATCATCAGAAGCCATTATCATTTCATGAATATTTCTTAATTTTTACCGCACTCTAATAAAATTTATTGTTAGGATTCTCTATATGCCTCTATGCTTATTTTCTTGCTTTTTTGTTTATTTGTTTAATCAAATGCGAAAACATTGGGAAATGGCAAGAAAGGTAAATCACTAAACCCAATGATGAACTAGGAGTAGCATTTTGTAAGCCAAAATCCGGAAACCAAGATAAAAAATGATATCCTATTAACTAATTTACCAATACACACTTGCTTTGTGCTGGCCACAAAGCCCATAATGGCCTAGAATTTACAACTTCAGGTTTATTAACTGGAAGATAGATGGTAAACAAACAAAAATATAAATATAAAATATGGTAACAAATAAGAATTAAGAAAAATAAAGCAAGATAACAAAGAAAGGAAAAACAATAGGGGTAAGGGTGAAGTTTATTTCTGGTTGTCAAAGATGGCCTTTCTAATAAAAACTATTTGAGCACAAATAAGAGAAAGCAAGCCATGTGATTATTGGAGAATGAATGTTTCAGGCAGGAGGAAGAGTACGTGAGGTTGGGCCATGAGGTAGAAGTGTGCTTGGCATGTTTGAAGAAGGGCTAGGATGCTGAAGTTTAGAAAGCATAGGGAAAAGTTGTAGGACAGGATGCAATGCAAACATATGCAACATATGCAAAAGTTGCAATATGAGAGACTGGAAAGAGCAAGATATTAAAAGGTATTATAAGCCAATGTAATGGAAGAACATTTTCTTTTGCTCCGATATCGCCACGTCATTGGAAGCTATTGGAAGGTGACGTGATTTGAGATGTTTTAAAAGAATCATTTTGACTACTGAATTGGAAATGGAAGTTACCGTGTCAACCTAGCAGGGAGAACAATTAGGAGGTGATTGCAATAATTCAGGTGAGAAACTATAGTTGTTGAATCAGGAAAATAGTAGTAGAGGTAATTAGAAATGATTAGAATTCTGTATATACGTATGTGTACGTATATACGTATGTGTATGTGTATCTGTATATACGTATGTATCTTACAGAAAAAAAAGAATGAAAATTGAAAACAGAGGATTTTAACCAAGAACCTACTTTATATGATGTATCTCATTCACTCCTTTATTCATTCCTTCTTTCACTCATTTAACTAATATAATCACTGATTTAATAAAACCTATGCTGTAGACACTGAACAAATCAGGGGACAATTCAGATGATTTATGACCCTCTTTTGGGAAAGAAATCACCAAGTTAGAAGGACATTGGGAATGGGATAAAGTTTTACTTACTCTCTAGTAATTCATTTCAAAAAGGAATTTTCCAGTCTGGAAGTAAACAAATGAGAATAGCTTATTCCTAGGTCCATCTGCACATCAAATGTCCTAGCAAGAGAAAGGTCAGTGTCAGCCTAAGATTCTACTTGAGGAAAGAGATTCTTCTTTGTCCAATTGTGAGGTTTGAGCCACAAGAAAAGCTAAATTTTATAACATACTTGGACCCTTCGTGACATGAATAGTACTGAATTCTAGGCTTAAAGGTGGAAAACAGTGGGAGTTTCCACTGAATGATTTCAATTTTCTCTCCATCATCACTCCTACCAAAGTAAAAATGACTTTTCTGCTATTTAATCCAATGGACACTTTCCTGTTCTTCCCTTTTTTATCTTCTTAGCATCATGTAACACTGTACACATCTCTGTTTCTTTAAACACTCCTCTCTTGGATTTCACTTCCATATTCCACATATTTTACTATACTTTTTTAGTTCTTCAAAAATAGTAGTTTTAAACCACAATGAATTACCTATACACACATTTTAAGTGGTTAAAATTAAGAAGATGAAGACAATGCAGTATTGGTGAGGATGTGGAGTAGGTGGAATTCTCAGACAAGACTGGGGGAATGTAAAATAGTACAGCCACTTTGGAAAAGTTTAGCAGCTTCTTAGAACATAAAACATATGTTCCATATGACCTAGCAATTCTACTCCTAGGTATTTCCTCCAAAAGAAATGATAAATATCAGCCATGAAATAGCTTGTGTACAAAAACTTATAGCAGCTTTATTTATAATAGCCAATAACTAAAGAAAAAAAAGTCCTTCAACAGGTGAATGAAAAAGCAATTATGGTATTTACATATAGTAGAATACTATGTAGCAATCAGAAAATAAACCAACTATAGATATTCTGATAGTTGTAACAACATAGCTGAATCTTTAAAACATGATATTGAGTAAAAAAAAAGCAATATATAAAAAAGTATGTTTACATTTATATAAAATAATATATTGAAATATATATAATAATACATATAAAATTGTAGAACAGGCAAAAATAATCTACAATGACAATAGATCAACAGTTATATGGGGCCAGGGATGAAGGCAAGAAGCAAAAGGGTGTGAGGGAACTGTGTGGGGAGATGTATGTGATCAGTACTGTTTGAATAAATGCGTAACAGCCAGTTCTCTGGGAAACTATGTGCATATATACATACAAAAGTTTATTATAAGTTTTACTGATATAAGAAATATCTAGGAATTTTAGATAGGAGATGGAGAAAGATGGCAGACTAGAAAGCTCCACCGATCACTCCCCCAACAAGGACACCAAGTTAACGATTATCTGTACAGAAAGAAACACCTTCATAAGAACCAAGAAACAGGTGAGCACTCATAGTACCTGGTTTAACACATCACTGAAAGAGGCACTGAAGAGTTAGAAATACCAATCTTGAATCACTGATACCACCCCTTCCCAACCCCTGGCAGCAACAGCAGCATGGTTCAGAGTGCGTCTCCAGACACTGGAGGAGGGAGAACACAACAATTGTGAGGCATTGAACTCAGGGCTGTTCTGTTAGAGCAGAAAGAAAAAGCAAACCAAACTACCTGACACCCACCCACAGGGGGAGCATTTAAACCAGTCCTAGATAACGGTCTGAATTTGAGTGCCTATAAACCTCGCCACTGAGGGACAAAGTGCTCTGGGACTCTAAGTAAATTTGAAAGGCAGTCTAGGCCATAAGGACTGCGACCCTTAGGTGAGTCCTAGGGCTGAACTAGGCCTAGAGAAAGTGGACTGGGGAAGGGGGGCATGTGATATATTAAGACACCAGGTAGGGCAGCCAAGGGAGTGCTGGCATCACCCCGCCCCCCAACCCCAGGGTGCACAGCTTGCAGCTCCAAAAGAGACTCCTTCCTTCAGCTTGAGGAGAGGAGAGGGAAGAGTGGCAGGACTTAGTCATGCATCTTGGATACCAGCTCAGCCACAGCAGGGTAAGGCACCAGTCAGTGTTATGAGGCCACCATTACAGGCCCTAGCTTCCAGACCACATTTATAGAAACACCCTGGGCCAGAAGGGAACCCTCTACCTTGAAGGAAAGGACCCAGTCCTGCCAGCATTGATCACCTGCTAACTGAAGAGCCTTTGGGCCCTGAATAACCAACAGTGATACCTAGGTACTACATCAAGGGCTTTACTGAGCCTCTGAGACTTACCGGCTTCAGGTACCAACACTGCCATAGGTGCATAGAGCACCAAGTGGACTCTTGGGGTCCCCAATTCCAGGACTTGATTATTGGATGGCATTTATGGACCTGCCCTGGGCCAGAGGGAAGCCCACTGCCCTGAAGGGTTAGTCCCAGGCCAGGCAGCATTCACCACAAGCTGACTTAAGAGACCTTGTGCCTTAAGGAAACATCAGTGGTGGTCTGGCAGTACTCCTTGTGGGCAGGGGTGGTGGTAGCTATGGGAGTGAGGCTCCTCAGCCTTTGGAAAGGGGAGGGAAGAGTTGGAAGGACTGCATCTTATGGTTAGAGTACCAGCTCAGCCATAATACAATAGAATACCAGGTAGATTTCTAAGGTTTTTGACTCTTGTCCGACTCCTGGATAACACTTCTGGACTCAACCAGTCCTGAGGGGACCTCACTAACCTAAAAGGGAGGGCATAGGACTGACTGGCTTTGCCTCTTGCTGATAGTAGAGGCCTAGGGCCTTGAGCAAACATAAGCAGTAGCCAGAGAGTGGTTACAGCAGGCCATAGGCAAGACCCAGCACTGTGCTGGCTTCAGGTCTGATCCAGCCCAGTCATAGTGGTGGTGGCTATAGGGGTACTTTTGTTACTCCACCTCCAGCTTTAGGTGGCCCCAAAAGAGAGAAAGAGAGACTGTATGTTTGGGAGAAAGTAAAGTAAGAGAACAAGAGTCTGCTGGTAATCCAGAGAATTCTCCCAGATCTTTGCCAAGACAATCTATACAGTACCTCTAGGAGTCTGCAAGAACCACAGCATTATTGGGCTTGGGGTGCCCCCTAAAGTAGGAATAGCATAGATCACAACATCCAAGTCCTTTCAAATATCCGGAAAGCCTTCCCAAGAAGGAAAGCTACAAATAAGCACAGACAGTGAAGACCACAATAAATACCTAACTCTTCAATGCCCAGACACCAAACAATATCTACTAGCATCAAAACCATCCAGGAAAATACTACCTCATCAAATGAACTAAATAAGGCACCAGGGACCAATCCTGGAGAAACAGAGAAATACAACCTTTTAGAAATGGCTGTGTTGAGGAAACTCAAAGAAATTCAAGATAACACAGAGAAGGAATTCAGAATTCTATCAGATAAATTTAACAAAGACATGAAAGTAATTTTAAATAATCAAGCAGAAATTCTGGAGCTGAAAACTGCTATTGTCCTACTAAAGAATGCATCAGAGTGTTTTAATAGCAGAATGGATCAAGCAGAAGAAAGAATCAGTGAGCTTGAAGACAGGCTATTTGAAAATACAGTGAGAGGAGACAAAAAAGAATAAAAAATAATAAAGCACGCCTATAAGATCTAGAAAACAGTCTCAAAAGGGCAAATCTAAGAGTTATTGGCCATAAAGAGGTGATAGAGCAGAGATAGGGGTAGAAAATTTATACAAAGGGATAATAACAGAGAACCTCCCAAACCCAGAGAAAGATATAAATATCCAAGTACAAGAAGGTTATATAATACCAAGCAGATTTAACCCAAAAAAGATTACCTCGTGGCATTTAATAGTCAAACTCTCAAAGGTCAAAGATAAAGAAAGAATCCTAAAAACAGCAAGAGAGAAGAATCAAATAACGTACAATGGAGCTCCAACACATCTGGCAACAGACTTTTCAGTGGAAACCTTGCAAGCCAGAAGAGAGTGGCATGACATATTTAAAGTGCTGAAGGAAAAATACTTTTACCCTAGAATAGTATATCCGGTAAAAATATCCTTCAACCATGAAGGATAAATAAAGAATTTCCCAGATAAACAAAAGCGGAGGGATTTCATCAATACCAGATCCCTTCTATAAGAAATGCTAAAGGGGGTATTTCAATCAAAAAGAAAAGGACGTTAATGAACAACACATAAACCTGAAGGTACAAAACTTATTGGTAATAGTAAGTACATAGAAAAACACAGAATATTATAACACTGTAACTGCGGTGCATAAACTACTTTTATCTTAGGTGGAAAGACTAAATGATAAATCAATAAAAAAAACTACAACTTTTCAAGACTTAGTACAATAGAACATAAAGAGAAACAACAAAAAGTTAAAAAGCTAGGGGACAAGTTAAGGCAAGTTTTTTTAGGTTTTCTTTTTGCTTGCATGTTTAGGTAAATAGTGTTAAGTTACTATCAGATTTTAAAAAAATGGGTTATAAGATAGTATTTGCAAGCTTCATGGTAAACTAAAGCCAAAAAAACGTACAATGAATACACAAAAAATAAAAGCAAGGAACTAAATCATATCACCAGAGATAATCACCCTAACTAGCGGAAGACAGGAATGAAGAAGGAAGAAAAGATCACAAAACAACCAGAAAACAAATAACTAAGTGTTATCAACAATAACATTGAATGTAAATGGAATAAATTATTCAATCAAAAGACATAAACCAGCTGAATGAATGAACAAAAACAAGAACCATTCATCTGTTGCCTACAAGAAACATTCCTCACCTATAAAGACACATATTGACTGAAAACAAAGGGATAGAAAAAGATATTTCATGACAATGGAAACCAAAAAAGAGCAGGAGTCTCTCTATTTATATTAGAAAAAATAGATTTCAAGACAAAAACTATAAGACAAAAAAGGTTACTATATAATGATAAAGTGGTTAATTCAGCAAGAAGATACAACAATTTCAAATATATATGTGCAAACACTGGAGCACCCAGATATATAAAGGAAATATTACTAGAGCTAAAGAGAAAATAGGCCCCAATACAATAATAGCTGGAGACTTCAACACCCCACTTTCAGCAATGGACAGATCTTCCAGACAGAAAATCAACAAAGAAACAGAATTAATCTGCACCATAAACCAAATGTGTCTAATAGATACTTACAGAACATTTCTTCCAAAAGCTACAGAATATACATTCTTTTCTTCAGCACATGAATCTTCCTCAAGGATAGACCATACGTTGGGTCACAAAACGAGTCTTAAAACAATCAAAAAATTGAAATAATATCAAGCATCTTCTCTGAGCACAATGGAATAAAACTAGAAATTAATGAAAAGATAAATTTTGGAAACTATACAAACACATAGAAATTTAACAATATGGTCCTGAATGAACAGTGGGTTAATGAAGAAATTAAGAAGGAAATTGCAGTGGTTCATGCCTGTAATCCCAGCACTTTGGGAGGCTGAGGTGGGTGGATCATGAGGTCAGGAGTTCAAGACCATCCTGGCAAAGATGGTGAAACCCCATCTCTACTAAAAATACAAAAATTAGCCAGGCCTGGTGGTGGGTGCCTATAATCCCAGCTACTCGGGAGGCTGAGGCAGAGAATTGGTTGAACCCAGGAGGCGGAGGTTGCAGTGAGCCGAAATCACGCCACTGCACTCCAGCCTGGGCGACAAAGACACTCTGTCTAAAAAACAAAAACAAAAAAAGAAGGAAATTGATAAATGTATTAAAATAAATGATGATGGAAACACAATGTACCAAAACCTATGGTTAGCAAAAGCATTACTAAGAGGGAAGTTTATAGCTATAAGTGCCTACATCAGAAAAGATGAAAAACTTCAAATGAACAATCTAACAATGTATCTTAAAGAGCTAGAAAAGCAAGGGCAAACCAAACCGAAAATTAGTAGAAGAAAAGAAATAATAAAGATCAGAGCAGAAATAAATGAAATTGAAATTTAAAAATAAAAAATACAAAAAAAGTCAGTGAAATGAAAAGTTGGTGTTTTGAAAAGTTAAACAAAATAGACAAACTTTTAGCAAGACTAAGAAAAAAAGAGAGAAGATCCAAATAAAATCAGAAATGAAAAAGAAGACAATACAACTGATACCGCAGAAATTCAAAGCAGCTGCTATGAGCAAATATATGCCAAGAAACTGGAAAATCTACAAGAAATGGACAAATTCCTAGATACATACAACCTACCAAAATTGAACCAGGAAGAAATCCAAAACCTGGACAGACCAATAAGTAACAAGATCGAAGCCATAATAAAAAAATCTCCCTGTAAGGAAAAGCCTGGAACCTGATGGCTTCACTGCCAAATTCTACCAAACATTTAAAGAGGAACTAGTACCAATTCTACTCAAACTAACCCAAAAAATGGAGGAAGAGGGAATACTTTCAAACTCATCCTACTAGGCCAGAGTTACCCTGATACCAAAACCAAAGACACATAAAGAAAAGAAAACTACAGGCCAACATCTCCGATGAATACATTGATGTAAAAATCCTCAACAAAATACAAGCAAACCAAATTCAACAATACATTAGAAACACCATTCATCATGACCAAGTAGAGTTTATCCCTGGGATACAAGGACAATTCAAAGTATGCAAATCAATCAATGTGATATATCATATCAACAGAATGAAAAATAAAAACCATATGATCATTTCAATTGATTCTGAAAAAGCATTTGATAAAATTTAACATCCCTTCATGATAAAAAAAAAACCCTCAAAAAACTGGGGATAGAAGGAACATACCTCAACGTAATAAAAGCCATTTATGACAGACCCAGAGCTAGTACCAAACTAAATGGGGAAAAACTGAAAGCATTTCCTCTAAGATCTGGAACACAAGAATGCACATTGTCACCACTGTTATTCAACATAGTGCTGGAAGTCCTAGCTAGAGCAATCAGACAATAGAAAGAAATTTTTAAAAATCCAAACTGGAAAGGAAGAAGTCAAATTATCCTTGTTTCCAGATAATATAATCTCATATTTGGAAAAACCTAGACTCCACAAGAAAATTCTTAGAACTGATAAACCAATTCAGAAAAATTGCAGGATACAAAATCAGCATACAAAGATCAGTAGCATTTCTATACACCAATAGTGAACAATGTGAAAAAGAAATTTTAAAAAATAGTAATCCCATTTGTAATAGCCACACATAAAATTAAATACCTGAGAATAAATCAAAGAATTCTATAACGAAAACTACAAAACACTACTGAAAGAAATTAAAGAGGGCACCAAAAAATGGAAAAATATTCCATGTTCCTGGATTGAAAGAATCAATATTGCAAAATTGTCCAATAATTCAATGCAATTCATCTCAAACACCAATGACATTCCTCACAGAAACAGAAAAAACAATCCTAAAATTTATATGGAACCACAGAAGACTCAGAATAACCAAAGCTACCCTACACAGAAAGAAGAAAACTAGAGGAATCACAATACTTAACTTCAAATTATACTACAAAACAATAGTAACCAAAACAGCATGGTGCACAAGCCAATGAAACTTAAATCTGCCCCCTCTCCCTAACTCCACAACTTTTTCCGTAAATGTTTTTTTAATGTTCATCTGTCTCTAAGCCCTTATTCTCCCTGCTCTAGTCAAGCCACAACTAACTCTCAGGAATACTTCAAAAGCCTCCTAAAGGCTTCTCAGTCTTTAGCCTCTCAATCATTTTCCAAACTATATAAAGAGAAAATAGATAATCAGTAGATGATAGAACAATACAATGATAGATAGATAGATAGATAGATAGATAGATAGATAGATAGATAGATAGATAGATAGATAGACAGAATTCTGCTCTTGTTATATGGCTCATAAGTACCTCTATGATTAGGTCCTACTTAGGCCTCACATTCCTGGAGAAGTCTTCTCTAATCCCTTAGGTTTGGGTTAGATATCCCACATATATAATCCCACAACTCTTAGCACACAGTGATGTTGCCTAGTTAATTTTGTCTCCTCTGCCAGACTGAATTCTCCTTTAAGCCAAGGACCACTTTTATCATGTTTGCCATTAAAACATTAGATTCGGCCAGGCGCAGTGGCTCACGCCTGTAATCCCAGTACTTTGGGAGGCCAAAGCGATCAGATCACAAGGTCAGGAGATCAAAACCATCCTGGTTACACTGTGAAACCCCATCTCTACTAAAAATACAAAAAATTAGCCAGGCATGGTGGCACATGCCTGTAGTCCCAGCTACTTGGGAGGCTGAGGCAGGAGAATCACTTGAACCCGAGAGGCAGAGGTTGCAGTGAGCTGAGATCGTGCCACTGCACTCCAGCCTGGCCAACAGCAAGACTGTCTCAAAAAAAAAAAAAAAAAAAAAAATTAGATCCTAGCCATGTGCCTAGAAAACAGCAGTTCATCACTGAATATTTATTGAATGAGTCTTGTTAATATTACAGACTGAAAAGTTTTAGTCAGCTACTACTAATCTTCTGTTCATCTTATACCCATCAGAATTCAAGCCTTGTCTTCTCAAACGATACTGTAAGTCTTCTGATAGGTTAAGGGTTGTGTTTGGAATTTACCTAAAAACTCACATAGAATTCAAACTGCACACTTTGCATAATACATAAAATACATGGCTTCTTATTATTTCAAAAATCTAAATTCCTACCAAATTCTTCAAGTTGACACTGAAGACCTTATCAACAAAATATGCATAATGTTTTCAACACTCTTACCAAAACATCAATTTTGTATGTTTTTAGCCTATTTTCAAATATTTTCCCTCCTTATCTACCCTTCTGTACTGCCTTCCTCTCCTATCTCCTCCTCTGACCTATGCTTGCTCTGCTGCCATAATCTTGGATGTCTTCATCTCTTCCAATTAATTTTTTATCCTATCTTCAAAGGACTACTTCAGTTCTTGGCTTTCTGCCCCCTTTTTAAACAAACATTTTTCAGTTATTCCTGTCTGTTTCAGGAATGAGACTAGTTACTGAGAAAACAAAATTAAGTAATATACTCTCCCATGTAAGAGTCTGCATGCTGAGGTTGGGGATGGCTGGTATTTGAATTTCATATATACATACATGTTTTTGTTTTGTTTTTTTGAGATGGAGTCTTGCTATCACCCAGGCTGGAGTGCAGTGGAGCAATCTTGGCTCACTACAACCTCTGCTTCCCAGGTTCAAGCGATTCTCCTGCCTCAGCCTCCTGAGTAGCTGGGATTACGGGCACCGACACCAACCCCGGCTAATTTTTGGTAGAGATAAGGTTTCATCATGTTGACCAGGCTGGTCTGGAACTCCTGACCTCAAGTGATCTGCCTGCCTTGGCCTCCCAAAGTGCTGGGATTACAGGCATGAGCCTATGTGCCCGGCCTTGAATTTCATATAATTAATGTGTGATAAGGTACATACATGGTAGTGTGGGAGCAGGGAGAAGGGAGCACCCTCTGACTGAGCATAGGAGGAAGATGAATGGGAGAAGTCATCAAGAAAATTATTATACCTCATTTGTCTACATTCCTGTTATAAAACAGCACGTCTCATTCATTCTAGCACTTTCTGTGGCTAACATTTGTTGAGCATACCCATTAACTAATTTCACTTTTATTACAACTGTATGAGATAGAATGGCATAGATATTATGATGATCAGCAATTTACAGCTGGGAAACAGAGACACTGAGTCAATATGCATGTTTTGCCTCAGTCATTGGTGGGTGACACAAAATACACTGGGGACAAAGAAAGTGGGGTATGTGAGTCACATGAATCCTAGGACAGTACTAGGCACACAGAAAATCGCAAGTCTTTTTTCTGCTTTTATATCATTAGGCCCAAAGACAATCTGTATATTACTCGCAGAAACAGAAAGGAAATTCATAGCTGCTAATCCTCCACTCCAATATGTTCACACATAAAACCTAGATTTTTTTATCTGTATTTTCATACATTGTTTTGCTTGACTAGAATTTGGTCATGTGCTTGTGTAATGGGGAACGATCTCTCAAATAAGAAAGAAAGAATACCGTAACACTTGCTTCTGTATTCAATAAGCCCAGAAATGAGAATTTGCCATCATTTCCCCCATTTTTATTAGGA
The DNA here is from genome assembly GCF_000001405.40 of Homo sapiens. Taxonomy (NCBI): domain Eukaryota; kingdom Metazoa; phylum Chordata; class Mammalia; order Primates; family Hominidae; genus Homo; species Homo sapiens. The sequence continues at coordinate 163,814,327 of NC_000005.10, read as the reverse complement.
AAAGAGTCTCTTTCTTGCTTTTCTTAGTGTAGACATCGAAGCAGTCGGGCCAGCCAATGGATTCCCTCATCCTCTGTGCACATATAACCAAGGTAAGGCTGCATCCAACTGTCCTTGCAGGGTTTCTCTCGCTGTTTGCATGAAAGAAAAGCTTGAAATAAAATTTACTCTTTGCTCTCAGCAAGAACTAATACTTATCAAATGCCCTGGTCAAACACAATAAAGTCATACTGTGTAAGGAAATTGCTTTTGTAATTGATTTACTAGTTTTCATAGAGGAAAAAGCATTTCAGTAGCATTTTCATTAAACTGCTTGTCTACAACGACTAAAAAAAATCTAGTTTTCAGTTTTTAAAGACCCAGTATCTCTGTTGTTTGAATTTTTTTAACAGAAAGTAATCGAATGAGGAAAAATACTAAACCTGATGGTACACTGTATGGTAAATACAAGATCTAGATGTGTGCTTCCTTGTAGAGAAGTACAGAATTGGATACTATTTACAGGAATGAGAGTGCTTTTGTTATTGCTGTCTTAGGTTGGAAGACAGGAAAATAAAGGGAGAGAGGAGTAGCCTGCCTTTGTTTACACACACACACACACACACACACACACACACACACACACACACACACAAAGCTTTAACCCATTGCCCTGAGCCTCAAAGCAGGACCTACCCAGCAAGAATAAACTCAACTGCACAGTTCTTGCTATCTAGGACTTTGCATGTCACTCTAGGCCCTGCAATAAACACAGAACTGCCAAAAGAAAGCTTTTATCATTTAAAATGCAGCTGGTTCAAAAGAGATCAAGGTAACAAACTGCATCTAAGTTTCCCTTCAGTGAAATTACCTGATACAAAACCAAACCACTGCACTGTTGACTAAAAATATGTATTTTGTTATTTCAACATTAAACTGTAAGCTCCATAAAGACAAGGTCTCTGTGTATTTCACCAGGTCCAAGCCCACAATCAAGGTATGACTCTTAAATAAACAAATGGATTTTAATTTCTTATTGAATCAAACAAGAAGCGTCTCTGAATGGATGTCACAATGATACCTTTCGTCATTAACTTTTTATGGTAGAAAACTCCTTCCCAAGCTTCCACTTTTTCTCCCATTTTGGAGGCACATCAAAGGAAGAGAAAGAGCTCTGGGAGAGAAGACAAGAAAAAAAAATGAGAGTAGCAGGAAGGAATGTTATAGGAAATGGAAAAATGCCACCTGGGATAATCAGATCAAAATCTTGAGCTCCAAACCCCAAATGGCAATTTTTGCTTGCCTGTAAATACACATAGTTATACCGTTGATTGAGCAATGGTTACATTTGGTCGGAATTGTAAGAAGCTAGGCAAAGTGAAAAATATTTTTTGGACAAACTGGAGTATTCTAGGAAACCCACTTATCACGCTGACACAACTTGAAAGCATTCATTTATCCAACAAATATTTACTAAAACTTGCTGTTTGCTAAGCACTGTGCTTGGTGCTATGGATTCAAATAGGAACATGCAATGTATATCTGAGATTTTTTTTGAGGTCATGGATAAATTTGACAGTCTGTTATGTAGACCCTCTCCCCAGGGGAATGGACATTTAAACATGTACAATCTGTTAGGTAGACTCTCTCCCCAGGGGAATGGACATTTAAACATGTACATGTTTTACATACAATTTCAGAGAGGTCGTAGATCCTCCCAAAATCCTACAGCTGGATATTGTTAAATTAATTGGAATATTGACTGTTAAATAATGGAAGCTGTAGGATTTCTATATGTGTGTGTATATGTGTGTATATATATACACACACACACATATATATATACACACAGAAATATATATTTGCATGTCACTCCACATCCCAGAATAAGCTCATAACTGCCAAAAGAAAGCATTTATCATTTAAAACGCACTTGGTTCAAAAGAGATCAAGATAACAAACTGTATCCAAGTTTCCTTTCAGTGAAATTACTTGACACAAAACCAAATCTCATATATATATATATATATATATATATATATATATATATATATATATATATATATGTATCTCCTACATCTTCCATTGCTTTCTGCCCAAGCAGTGATCTACCCGCTGCTATGTTTCCTCTCTTTTCATTTCAATTAAATTCAGGTTATTTTCTGGACAGAAACCTCTTGATTAGAACATGCTGCAAAAGGAAGTTTGCAAAGGCAGGGAAGACAGCAGGTGATCTCACTCAGACCCTTCCCAATCTTAGAGAACTTCCTGAAGTAGCTCACAGAAATTAGTAAATCATTTTAACATAGTATTTAGAAACCTTCCCTAACCTGATTAATCAACTTACGGCACTTTTCTATTTAAAAGGTTTTACTCACTTAAAAACGCTTTTGCATTTTCAGTGTGTAAATAACCAGCCAGATATGATGCAGAATTTTCAGGAAAAAAATCAAGTCAAGGTGTCCAGTTTCACACCAAAAAAGAATGCTGGGTTGACATTTAAAGTACTTGTTTGCACAAAAGACACTTGGTTTTTTTTTTTTTAAATCAATTATCCTGCTCTCACTTGCTTTATCTATTATAATTTATGGATTACTGGAATTCATAACTGAATAATATGTAGATGTCACCTGGGGGTGCGAAACCAATTCTCCTACTTGGAATTGCCTGTCTAAGTAAGAATGACACCCAGTTTAGTATTTTGTCTCTGATTAGAGACACTATAGATTTGCAGTCGCCTCCATGTAATATAAATCAATAAAGAATAATTTTCCAGGCAGTAAATCAATTGTCAGTTCAAAGACCCTAATACCCTTGTGCAAGATTTATTGAGAACATGAATGGCAGTCTTGTTAGGAGATGTACAGCACGCTTTATAGGGACATAATAGTGTAAACCCCAAACTATTACCTTCACTATGGTGAAGAATCCAACAGGAATAACCCTTTCATTTCCATGGAAAGCAAACTCAAATAGATTTTTCAATTACAAAATGAAAAATTTTAAAGATAACAACAAGATAAAAATCTCTGGACTGGGAAGATATATCAGTCTTGAAGTCACCATAACCCTTTTGCTGGGACTTTCTGTACCTTGGGTGTGGTGGACCTATCAAATTAGTATTCTAAACCTTTGCCATCCAGTAGGATATCTGCTAGCCCCATGGGACTATTAAAATTTGCAATATGATTAGTCCAAATTGAGATGTGCTGTAAGCGTGAAATAAACACTGGATTTCACCTAGTACATCACAAAGAATGTAAAATATCTCATTAACGATTTTTACATTGTTTGCTGAAATGGTAATAGTTAGGATATGTAGGATTCAGCAAAATATATTGTCAGAATTAATTTCAACAATTTCTTTTTATCTTTGTTATAGGGCTACTATTTATTTTAAAAGTACATACGTGGCTCACATAATCTTTCTATTGTCCATCACTCTTCGTTGCCAGGCATGTTGAAAGAGAAGTCTTTTAACCCTAAAAATAAGTCTCAAGGGATGGGAGGTGGGTAAACCTAGGAGCACACCAAATATATCTTCATGGGTAAGTCCTTACAATTTTGGAAATAATGATAACAACCCAGAGTATTGAGAATTAATTTGCTAAAGTGGTCCAAGTGACTCACTCAACAATTGTATTATTGTCAGCCATGACGACCCAGCAAATCCTCAGCAGACCAGATCATTAGACAAAAATAAAACTTTGCTTTTTAGAAGAGACCAATATGTGGATCCTCTGAAGAGGTGGGAAAAAGATCATAGCTGGTTATTCATTGGGGGTGGAGGGAGAGGCTTCCACAGGCCATATGATAAACACGATTAAAGTTCTAGGCAAACGAAACTAGAGAGCCAGAAAGAAGAAAAATGCCACATCTGCTAATGGCTACATAATCAGATTTCAGCTGATGAGAGCTATATGGAAGATGAAGCCAAGAGAAGTCTGATTAACACTCTACAAAAATATTTTTAATTTGTTCGTGTCAAAACATATCTTTGATTCAATAGTTACAGTGTTATTCATTATTGTATGCCCATAATCTTGCACAGGATCTTACTCTAGAAAAATGCTCAATAAGTACTTGCTGGATGAATAAAATGATTAAATGGAAAGAAAAACAATGCATGATGCAAATTTTTCTACTGCACAGAACTAGAAATATTCATGGAGCAGATTAGACAGTTTGTAACTCCAGACAATGAAGAAGGAAATATTAAGAGTAGATTTTTAGACAGAAGAATAAGGAAAAAGTAAAATGCAAAATAACATTAATGAGTCCTAAATCAGGGGAAGGTAAACAAGAATTATAAAATGAAAAGAATATTAGAGTCTAGGCTAATTTTTATAATTCTCCGGCTGAGAATTATAAGTCATAGGCTTTCTGAATCTCAAAATTTAAAGTTGTGTAAAAGGCTTTGAAATTAATTATAAAACTTCAGCAGTCTGTAACGTCAGTGATATGGGAGAAATCAAAGAATCTAACAATCCCAAAATCCTCAGTAAGTCCTTTAACAGATTTAACATCAAGAAGAAAATGCATGTACATTTCAGTGCTTCTCAACCAGGGGTGACTTTGCACCCCAAGGGATGTTTGGCAATGTCTGGAGACGTGTGTCTGTGTGTGTGTGCGTGCGCACATGTGCGGGTGTGTGTGTGTGTGTTATTACAACTAGAAGGTGCTACTGACATCTACTGGGTAAAACCAGATATCCTGCAAAGCACAGAACAGCCCACCTCCCCCCAAAGAATTACCCAGCACAAATGTTAATAGTACAAGTTTGAGAAATGCTGATCTACAGTGATACAGAAGCAGTATTTACAGAAGCCAAGAATGGCGAGACAAGAATATGCCAGAAATTTCAGAGCACTCTGCTGATAGGACAAAAGAATAGTTTGTAAAGACAAGCTTAAAAGAATGAAATAATACCTAAATTCATTTTTGGTCCCTGGTTTTTCTCTCAATAGCATTTCAGAAGTTTTGCTAGAATTCTTCTTAAGAAATCATCATCTCTAAGAAAATGAGAAAAAATAATTCAAATTTATATGGGAGATGTATGTGTATTTTATGCAGAGGAAGTAAAAATTATGCTTTATTCTATTATGAATAAAAAGACTTGTCATAAATTGAGTCTGGGTTCATTTCTTTATGCTTAATAAAGCCTGCACACAGCATCTGAAGAGAAAGTAGATAGAAAATGTACCCATTAAAATATTTACCCTTCCAAGTAACCTAAAGTGGTAAGAAATATAGGCTTAATTATCTTCTAAGATTTTCAGCTATCACCTGAATTTGTAGTCCTACTATACTTGAAAAATAGAGAACAAGTTTAATACTAAATTTAAATCTACTGCTTTAAAAATACTTTCCTTGAGCTGCAAACTATAATCATGTATTCTATATCACCATGAGTTTTAGTACATTAATACGATATAAATTATGCTTTAAAGATATATTCATGATTTATAATAATTGCAACTCTCAGAAACTAATAGCCAGAAGCACTTGACTTTTACCTTCAAATATTCTCACTCAAATCCAGTTAAAATACTGTTTGAATCAGCATAAGAGCTTCTATAGTGGGATTTTAGAAACAATCATCATTTTTTAAAGAACTCTGCTATTATGTTAATACTTAATAGCTTGATGTGTTACTCTTCCCAGGTAACATATTTTTATTTTTGTAAAAGTTTATTAAGAATATGCTTTAATAGAATTCTACTGCTGACATTTTCAAGGGCACAAAGCTAGAAAGTATATATGCATATGGATGGGTGGGAGGGAAGACGTGGATGAAGGGTGGGTAAATTTTTAGAATTTCTCACCATATTAGTTTGCTGAAGACACTATAACAAAGAACCAAAAATGGTCTGGCTTAAAACAACAGAAATTTATTCTTTCACAGTTATGAAGGCTAGAGGCCTGAAATCAAGGTGTCAATAGGGTTGGTTCCTTCTGGAGACTTTAAGGAAAAATCTGTCCCATGCCTCTATCCTAGTTTCTAGTGGTTGCTGGCAATCCTCAACATTACTTGGCTGTGGCAACATTTAACTCCAATATCTGCCTCTGTCTCCATATGGCTTTTTTCTCTGTGTTGCTAGCTCTTCTTTGCTAGTTGGTCTCTCTGTTTCTTCTATTAAAAGGACACAAGACATGAATTTAGGGCCCACCTAAATTCTGGGATGATTTCATCTCTAGATCCTTAATTAAATCCCTCCACAGATCCCTATTTCCACATCCAAACACATTCTGAGGTTCTGGCTGGACATAAATTTGGAAGAGAGACATGATTTCAGCTCACTACGCTCACCATATCTTATTTGTGGTCAACTATTTTGTTTAAATAAAGCTCTGACTCTGTCTGTGTATCCCTCTCTCATTTTCCTTATGGCACCACGCCTGAAATTGAATGTGGATCACCCTTCCCAAGGACCCATGATGTCATCTATAAAATAGCATCACCACCAACAGATGTCAATGAAAGAACCCAAACTGACTTAGAATAAAGTAGCCAATATACCAGCTTGGGGCTTTTTTAAAAAACAGGTTGGGTATATTAGATAAGTGATTTAACTTTTCAATGTCTGTGTTATCAGGAAGGTTAAATGATATAATGTACTTGGAGTTTGATCCTAGCTCTTCCACTGAATAGCTATTTGACCTTAGACAAATTACCCAGTTTCCTTTATCTCATATTCTTTATGGATAAAATCAGAATAATATAGATTTTAATGGCAAGAGAAAAATCTTGCATATGAATATGCCTACCACTGTGGATCTGACGGTTAGCCAGATAATAAATTTTATTTAGCCAGCACAATGGAGTTTATTTATTATTTGAATTTAAATTACTTTAGGCAGAGCAGGCATTCTCTTCAATTTGCCATAGGCTCCACTCTCCATTTGAATGAAACTGAGTTTATCTGTACTGAGAGGCCTTTGAGTTTATGTCTACAATGTTAATACGTAGCAAAAATTCAGTAAAGGAGTAACATCAGAGGCTACCTGTCCCAATACTAACTGTCCTGTTCAGAAAAAAGGAATTCACCACCTACAGTGAAAGCTCACTCCGTATTTTAAGATAACCCCATTTTCTGGTAAATTATTCCTTCCGTTCCTGTAACTTTTATTCATTGACCTTAGTTTTTATCCCTAAGACAATATTAACGAAATCAAATCCTGCCTTTATTTACATAAATACATCTGCTGTGACTCCTCAATACATGAGATTTGTATAACAGCATTCAAAGCCATGATTATAAATTACAATTAGTATACATCATGAAGTCATTCATCTCAATGTTGTCAAATATTGCCCAAGGAATTTTCCATTCCATTAGATAATTATACTCTAAGCTAATAAGTAATCAGCCCTCCTTTACTTTTTGACTTTGTAGAATATGATGGGAAAACTCCAATTAGTCACTCCCAATGTTTATAGGAAAAAAGGACAGAAATATACCCTTGTATGAATTTAACAAGAGCTTTCCTTTATTCAATTTTCTTGGGGACAAGGGTCATAGAATCAGAAAAATGGACAATTTTCTTTCATACAGCAATAATTTTTAAACCACTCTTAACTTTCAAATTTAGCAATAAGATGTAGTAAGACTTTTCCCCAAATCCCAGGCTACCTGTCCAGTTTCAGGATTTTTAAAGTTTGGGATACAGTGAAAATGCTAACATGAAGCTACTGATCAATGGTCAGATGTCAGCAGTCTGGAGAATTTGACAGACACTCTGGATCAGCCCTGGTAATCCTGATATTCCTGATATTTAGAATGCGTAAGAAATACCATTCACCTTGGACAGTGACTTCTCATGCTAAGGCTGTAATTACCAAGTGGTCAGATGTCAATATAGTCAGCCTTCTGAAATGGCTATAGGAATTCTATGAGGTCTAGAATGCTGAGATACTAATCTTGCTGATGGCAAAATAAACTACTGTCACCAAGCCCTTGATATTTAGCCCTATAGAAACTAATTCCCTTGGGCAATCCAAAGTGCCCCATACAGTAACTACTGGGGATGGCAAAGACAAGAATGCCATAGCTAGTAATTTTCAAAGTATTCCATGTTTACATTTCTATCCATTTCCCTCACATACTAACTTCACCAAAATAATCCTCTGATTAAGAAAATAGTTGCATTTAAAATTTTCTAATGCAAAAGTCTATGAAGTCAGTTGAGTGATCCTAATTTATCAATTACAAATTTAGAAAAAATACTATGGTATGCCAAAGAGGTTTTTAAATTAACATTTTCAAAGACCCACACAAAAACTAAATATACATTGTAGACAAGTACAGCAAAGCAATAAAAGAAAAAGATAAAAATCACTAGTAATCAATCCTAGCCATCAGAGGTAACAGGTGGTAAAATCTGGATTTTCCATAGACTTATTCAGACACCTGAAGACTTATAATAATGGAAAGTAAGACGATTATCAACTCTATATGCTATGGCTACAGTTTCTACTTAGGTGATGACCTTTTCTACTACCATTTTATCCAGCTTTACATCCTATGATGTCAGCCTACAGAATTTCTCCTATATTCTATATATACACTGATCGACTCTCAAAACTTTATCCTATATGTACACTGATCTACTCTCAAAATTTTATCCTATATATACATCTACTCTCAAAACTTTATCCTACATATACACTACTTTATCCTATATATACACTGGTCTACTCTCAAAACTTTATCCTATATATACATCTACTGTCAAAACTTTATCCTACATATACACTACTTTATCCTATATATACAATGATCTACTCTCAAAACTTTCTGCCGCTGTTACCATGTAATTCCTGCTATCTGAATATTTAGAATAACTAGTAAAATTAGCCTGAATGATAATCATCACATTGTATTGTATGCAATAACTAAAGCCATATTACTCAGGCTTTAAATTAAGAAGCCTAGTTCAGTAAAAATGAATTTGGTACAACCTAATGTTTGATACTTGATACATTTATTTAGTTTTTCAGAAGACGAGATCTTTATTTGGCAAATATAGGCAAATTAGGCAAATAGAATAAACATACTTCAGGGATTTTAAAACATTAATAAATGCATAGTCATAGTAATATTTCTTAAGGAAACCAAAAGATGCATTTAATCAAAATTATTTCTCATCTCCAATATGCTGATGAACTGTGAAAGTATCAAAAAGTCAAAGTAAAAAATGAAAACAAATTGACTTTTTAAGCCATGGTAATTGTACTTAAGTTATTACAGGCATTTTTTAAAAAGTATGTATCTTATAGTTCAAAAATTTCAGTCCATAATTCAGAGGGAAGATGAATTAATCCCAACAATGCCATTAAATAGTATTTAATAAATATCAACATTGGAAATGAGACAATAGGATGATCAAGAGAGTGGGTCTCATCATTGACCCGCTGTAGCAGCAGGCTAGGATGGGACAACACAGATCAAGGGTGCAAGTTGAGGCATCTCCTGTAATGAGCACAGCCTGTGAACATGAACAACAGTTACATTTTACTGATTTTCTACATTCCAGTTTCCTTCAGGCAGCCTTTTAAGTGAGTCTTATGGGAATAAAGACAGAGGCTACTAAACCTTTATGTAGCAAATAATACCAGAGAGATTGGGCCAGGCATGGTGGCTCACACCTGTACTCTCAGCACTTTGGGAGGCCAAGGCAGGATGATCACCTGAGATCAGGAGTTCCAGACCAGCCTGGCCAACATGGTGAAACCCCTTCTCTACTAAAAATATAAAATTTGCTGGGTGTGGTGGTGCACACCTGTAATCCCAGCTACTCAGGAGGCTGAGGTGAGAGAATCCCTTGAGTACAGGGGCCGGAGGTTGCAGTGAGCCCAGATCACAACACTGCACTCCAGCCTGGGCAACAGAGCAAGACTCTGTCTCAAAAAAACAAAAAAAAAAAGAGAGAGAGAAACAGAGAGAGAATGGCAGCTAAATAGAGGATACTTCTCATTACCAGGATAAATGATGGAGAAGCCCAGAATAGCAACACAACACTGAGCTAGAAGTTAAAAGTGACCACCAGGAAACGGAAAAAAAAAAAAAAAAGGTAGAATTCCAGTAAAGCAGGAGGATTATACTAGTAGTAGACTAGAGAGGTACCAAGCACAAGTCTGGGCTAATACATGCAGCTTATACAAAGTAGCCAGACCTTTTGGTAGCAGGGAAAACGTAAAGACTATGTATTTCTGTATTAGCGTTATACTGCTGTGTACAAATCATCATCAACTTAGTAGCAGTTTCAAACAAGATCCATTTGTCATACTACAGTTCTGTAGGTCAGCTGAGAACCCAGCAGAAGGTCTCATTAGATCAAAATGAAGGTGTCAGCTGGACTGAGCTCTTGTGCGGAGGCTTTGGGGAAGACTCACTTCCAAGCATATTCAGGGTATTGGAAGAATCCACTTCATTGTGGCTTTAGGTCTAAGGACCCTATTTCCTTGCTGTATGTCAACTGGGAGCTTCTTTCTGTTATTATAGGCCACCAGCATTCCTTCTCAGGTAGCCCTCTACTTTTTTTAAAGATGAGTTTAAATGATACAACAAATCCTTCCTACACCTGGAATCTCTCACACCTGGAACATCCTCTTCTGCTGCCGGTTAGCAAAAACTATTGCTTTTAAAGGGTTCATGGGATTAGTTAAGTCCATTTAAATAATCTAGGATAATCTCCCCATCTTCAAATCAGTTGACTGGTGACTTTAATTACATTAGCAAAAATGCTTTTGAAATATAATGTAACATATTCACAGGCTTAATATCCTACCATATTTACAGTCTTGGGAATTAGGGTGACCAATGTTGCAAGGTCATTTTTAAACTTCTGCCTTACACAGTCTCCATAGTAACAGGGACTAGATTTGCCCTGCTGCCTAAATTAGTCAAATTAACGGACAAAATATGAAACAATGATTTTCAAGGCACTGGACATCTGAAAACAAGAACAGTAATCTCTGAGAGAGAAAACAAAGTGAGTCCTACAACTTTTCCAATGTATAGCCTTGAAAGAATTTCCAGGCCACTGCTCAGAGAGGCCCCACTCTTATCCCACTCTTTAAGATAAGAAGATGAAGCTGAGCTTCCAGGGAAACCAGAAAAGTAGAACTTGAATGACACAGTATCAAGGAAGAGAAAGCTGCACAAAATGCAAACTCCAAAGATATGCAGATGGTTCTTCTCAAATATTCAACAGAGTGCTGATCATCACATGCATGTGAGGAAACTAAGGCCAAGGAAAAAGAACAATATAAAAGGCAGAAGGTGTTCAGTAATCACGTAAGACCAGGAATGATGCATACTCTCACCAGCCTGACTTAAAAATATCGTAATTATGGGATACCGGATAGAGTGATCAGAAATACCTTGCCTGAGTAGTGGAGAGTAATTAGGCCTAGATTAACATTGCCTGGCTCTCAATAATGTCTTTAAAGAAAGACACAAAAGGATCAACATGTTTCCAATAATTTAATTACATCCCAGAAAGAAAACTTAGTAACATTTGTAGGAATACAAAAATATCCAGCACCTAGTAAGATAAAATTCATAATGTCTGCCATTTTATTAAAAATTACCAGATATACAAGAAAGCAGAAAAGTATCACCCATAATCAGAAGCTAAACCAAAATTGACATGGATGTTAGAATACAACCAAGGATATTTAAATAATTGTTATAACTTAACAGCAGATAAGATGTTACAGAAGAAAATATTACTGAAATTGAACATATACCATTAGAATCTATTCAAAATGAGGCCAGGCGCAGTGGCTCATGCCTGTAATCCCAGCACTTTGGGAGGCCAAGGCAGGTGGATCATGAGGTGAGGAGATCAAGATCATCCTGGCAAACAGGGTGAAACCCCGTCTCTGCTAAAAAATACAGAAAATTAGCCGGGTGTGGTGGCAGGTGCCTGTAGTCCCAGCTACTTGGGAGGCTGAGGCAGGAGAACGGTGTGAACCCGGGAGGTAGAGCTTGCAGTGAGCCGAGATCTCGCCGCCACACTCCAGCCTGGGTGACAGAGCGAGACTCCATCTCAAAAAAAAAAAAAAAAAACTATCCAAAATGAAACATAAAGAAAGAAAAGAGTAATAATATAAGAACAGAGTATCAGTGAGTCATGGAATAACTTTAAGCATAAATGTAACTGGAGTCCCTAAAATGGGGAGAAAAAAATATATTTGAAGCAATAATAAACAAAAATATGCTAAAAATATGCCTGTTATCCTAGCACTTTGGGAGGCTGAGGTAGGTGGATTGCTTGAGTCCAGGAATCCAACACCAGCCTGGGCAACATGGAGAAACCCTGTCTCTACAAAAATACAAAAAATTAGGCAGGTGTGGTGGGGCATGCCTGTAGTCCCAGCTACTCGGGAGGCTGAGGTGGGAGGATCACCCAAGCCTGGGGAGGTCAAGACCACAGTGAGCCATGATCATGCCACCGTACTCCAGCCTGGGTGACAGTGAGACCCCATCTCAAAAAAAGAAAAAAAAAATATATATATATATATAATCCCACAGATCCAAGAAGTATTTTAAAAATTACATTAGGGAACATCATAATAAATATTTTTTAAATCAATGACAGAAAATTGTAATAGCAATTAGAGAAAAAAGACATTTAATGTATAAGAATAACAGCAGATTGTTCATCAGAAACCATCAAAATAAGCAAGAAGACAGTGAAATAACACCTTTAAATACCGAAGTAAGGAAAAAACTAAAACTCTTTACCTAGAATTCTATACCTAGGAAAAATACCTTTCAAAATTAGTATGAAAATTAAGGCTTTCTCAGTCATACAGTAGTTGAAAGAATGCATCATCAGTAAATTTTAACTAGAAGAAATGTTGAAAAAAATTATTCAGGTAGAAATATTGGTAAGTGCTACCAGATAAAAATATAGATCTGTAGAAATAAATCTAAAATACCATAAATTTTCTTATTACTTAAATCTACATAAAAGATAATTGATTGTTTAAACAAAAATAATAATTATCAAGGCAATGTGGGATCCATAGCATACTTAAAAGTATGATAACAATATCACAAAGGCCAGGAGTAAGGAAATGAAAATACACCATTGTAAATTTCCTAGGTTTCTATACAGTATGTGAAATAACACACTATCATCTGAAGGTAGACTGTGATAAATTAAAAACATATGCCATAAATCCTAAAGCAATCTTTAAAATAACAGAGAAAATGAAGCCATGAAAATGTGAAAAGACAATCCACACAATGGGAGAAAATATTTGACTATTATGGATCTAGTAAGGGATTTACATTAGAATATATAAAGAATTCTTATATTGCATCAATAAAAAGACTAAAACTCAATGTAAAAATGGGCAAACAATTTGAATAGTCATTTATTTAAAAACGATATACAAATGGCCAATATGTACATACAAAGATGCTCGACACCATTAGCCACTAGGGAAATGCAAATCAAAACTGCAATGAGATAACACTTCACACCTACTTACAACAGGCAATAAATAACAAGTGTTGGTGAATTGGAACCAATATACATCACTTGTGGGAATGTAAAATGGTGTGGCCACTAGAGAAAACTTTGTTTCCCAAAAAGTGAGGCAGAGTTAAAATATAACCCAGCAACTCCACTCTTAGGTAAACACTCAAAATAAATAAAAACATATGTCCACACAAAAACTTGCACATAAATTGTCCATAAGCAGCATTACTCATAATAGTAAAAAATGAAAATAACCCAAATATTCATCAAATGATGAATAAACATAGCAGATCCATATAATGAAATATTTTTCAACCATAAAAATGAATAAAGCACTTATATATGCTACAACATGTAAACAGTATTCTAAGTGAAATGAGCCAGTCACAAAATATCACATATTTTATTATTCCATCTATATGAAATAACCAGAACAGGCAAGTCTACAAAGACAGAAAGTAGATTAATGATTGTTTAAGGCATCAAAATCATGAAGGTGATTCTGTGGAGAAAGAATCATCTTATTTACAAATGGTGCTAAAATATCTATGCCAAAAAATGAATTTTAAATCATATTTTACACCATATATGAAATCCTTACCAAATGGAAATAAGCCTAAATGCAATACCTGAAACCACAAAACTTCTAAAATAAAAACAAGAAAATCTTTGTAACTTTGAGGGAGGCAAAGTTTTTTTTGGTAGAATATATAAAATACAAAGCACAAAATTTTTAAAATAAATTAGACATCATTATATTTAATTGTCTTTCTTTTCAAAGATTAAAAAAATAAGGCAAACGACAAGCTCAGAGAAAAGAGTAACAAAACATACCAGGTAAGGAACTTGTAGCCAGAGTATATCTCTTATAACTCAATAAGAAGAAAAACAAACAAAAAAACAAGCAATACATTTGAACAGATAGTCACAAAAATATTTAATTGGCTGAAAAACACATAAAAAGTTTATCAACACTGTTAGTCATTGGGAAAACACAAATTAAAATCATAATGCAATGTAACTACATATGCATTAGAACAGCCCAAATTTTAAGGGTGATAATACCAAGTGTAGGCAAGGATGTGTAACAACTGGGATTTTCATACACTGTGACTGGAAATGTAAAAGAGCACAACAACTTTGAAAAATGGCTTTTTAACATCTTATTACACAACCTAGTCCTTCCAGTCCTAGATATGTATCTACAATAGACTAAAGCATATGTACATGCATTTGTAATAGCCCCTAACTGGAAACAATACAAATGTCCAGCAACTAGTAAATAGAAAAACTGTTGTATACACACACGATAGAATACTGCTCAGCAATGAAAAGTAGTGAACTAATGTTAAATGCTATAATGTGGATGAATCTCAAAACGATTATATTAAGTGAAAGAAGCCAGACAAGAAAGTGCATAATCCCATTTACATAAAATTACAAAAAATACAAATCTATACTGACAGAAGAGATGAGTGATTGCCTTTGACATGGGAGATAAGCAGAGGTGTTGGGAAGAATTACAAAAAAAATGAGGAAATGTTTTAGAGCAATGGAAATTTTCATCATCTTGATTGTGGTGATAGCTTCACTGGCCCATACAAATGTCAAAATATATCAAATTTTACACTGTAAATATGTGTAGTTTATTTTATAAACAACTATACCTTAATAAACTGTTTTTAAAAAATTAAAACAAAAGCAAAGAGAAATAAGTTTATATGGAAAGAGAATTAGAATAATTCTCATTTTTTTGCTCAGATGCCAAGTGCACATTTATACTTACTTTTAAAAATTACTCTGTTTAAAAAATCTGCTTCTTCCAATTGGGGCTTCATATATTCAACTATATTAATAAAAGATGCACTTTCAAAAAATATCAACATCCATTTACAAAACCTTACAATTATTTTATTATTGGCTTCTTATTATTAGCATATATTTCATAAATTTCATAGCAGTTTGTAGTTACAATTCCAATTTATGTTCTGCATTTTTAAGATGTATTGAGGATTTTGAATAAGGGCGATCTGAAGCATAAGCATCTAACATTTTGTAATACTTATTATACTTTAAATAATATAAGTAATTGAATTCACATCTAAAATTGGCATTCAGTATGAAACTGGATCCTCATCCCTCACGTTATATAAAAATCAACTCAAGATGGATCAAAGACTTATGTCTAAGACCTGAAACCATAAAAATGTTGGAAGATAACATTGGAAAAACCCTTCTAGACACTGGTTTAGGCAAATCCTTCATGACCAAGAACCCAAAAGCAAAAAACAACAAAAAGAAAGATAAATAGATGGGACTTAATTAAACTAAAAAGCTTCTGCCCAGCAAAAGAAATAATCAGCAGAGTAAACAGACAACACACAGAGTGGGAGAAAATCTTAGCAATCTATACATCCAGCAAAGGACTAATATCCAGAATGTACAAAGAACTCAAATCAGCAAGAAAAAAAAATCCCATCAAAAAGTAGGATTTTTAGTGGGGCTAAGGACATGAATAGACAATTTTCAAAAGAAGATATACAAATAGCAAACAAACATATGAAAAACTGCTCAGCATAACTATTTATCAGGGAAATGCAAATGAAAACCACAATGCAATATCACCTTACTCCTGCAAAATGGCCATAATTTAAAAATCAAGAAATAATAGATGTTGACATGGATGCGGTAAAAAGGGAATACTTTTACACTGTTGGTGGGAATGTAAACTACTACAATCACTATGAAAAACAGTATGGAGATTCCTTAAAGAACTGAAAATAGATTACCATTTGATCCAGCAATCTCACTTCTGGGTATCTACCTAGAGGAAAATAAGTCATATGAAAAAGATACTTGCACGAGCATGTTTACAGCAGCACAATTGGCAATTGCAAAAATATGGAACTAGCCCAGATATCCATCAATCAATGAGTGGATAAAGAAAATGTGTGAATATATATATGTGTATATTCACACATACATATATGGTGTATATATGCGGTATATATATGTATATTGTATATATATGTGATATATATATATACACACCATGGAATACTACACAGCCATAAAAAGGAATAAAATAATGGCATTTGGAGCAATCTGGATGGAATTGGAGACCATTATTCTAAGTGAAGTAACTCAGGAATGGAAAACTAAACATTACATGTTCTCACGCATAAGTGGGAGCTAAGCTACAAAGACAAAAAGACATAAGAATGACACAATGGACTTTGGGGACTCGGGGGAAAGAGTGGCATGGGGGGTGAGGGCTAAGACTACACTTTGGGTACAGTGAACACTGCTCGAGTGATGGCTGCACCAAAATCTTAGAAATCACCACTAAAGAACTTATTCATGTAACAAAACATCACCTGTTCCCCAAAAACCTATGGAAATAAAAAAATAAAATAAAAAACCCAGTGGATGGTCTCAACAGCAGAATTGGAAAACAGTGGCATTCAATATAAACTGAATATGAACAAACCTCATTCTCTCTCACTATATTCTTCTATTTTACATGGGCAGAGAAATGATTATGCAGTGTATAGGCAAGATTCCAAAGGTTAAAAAAATAGTTCTCTTATAAATTGCTGGATATTGGCCAGGCACGGTGGCTCAAGCCTGTAATCCCAGCACTTTGGGAGGCCGAGGCGGGTGGATCACGAGGTCAGCAGATCCAGACCATCCTGGCTAACTTGGTGAAACCCTGTCTCTCCTAAAAATACAAAAAATTAGCTGGGCGTGGTGGCGGGCGCCTATAGTCCCAGCTACTCGGGAGGCTGAGGCAGGAGAATGGCGTGAACCCGGGGGGCGGAGCCTGCAGTGAGCTGAGATTACGCCACTGCACTCCAGCCTGTGTGACAGAGCGAGACTCCGTCTCAAAAAATAAATAAATAAAATAAAATAAATTGCTGGATATTGAATATGTACTTTTATATAAAATATTGTGGGCTAGGGGCTATGAGGTATATTCAGCTATACAAAATTTACTTTTTGCCCTTAAGGAGTTTATAATCTAATCAAGTAAATAAGATTAACAAATTAAAATGTATCACTGACAGGGAAACAGATGAAATTAGTAATATAATTAAGTGTAATTAAGAGTAATATCTTAGTTCTGAGGAGCCAACATGGCTTGGGATGGTTTCCAGAAGATGATGAGATGAAAGTTTATTACACTCTATCATAACTACCTATTTACTTGTCAGATTCTCCCACTAAAATGTCAGTTCCTTGAAAGCAGAGATCCTGTTCCCACTTTGTCTTTAGTGCCCAGCTCAATGCCTGCATAGAGCATACACTCACTAAGTAGTTGATGAATAATATGTAAATAACAGAATAAAACTTCAAGACTTGGGCATGTAGGATTTGAATATACAATTAAGGCAACTCAATTCTGTCAGTGCTAGCTGTTTTAAGCAAAAGCACATGGTTGGAAAAGCAAGACTGAGTCAGCAAGAATGGGCAGTCCAATGTACCTGAAGGATAAGATGCGTGAAGAAAAGTTGGATGAGAGAGAATTGAAGTGGATAGTACAACCCCAATTGAGACTGAAGGTAATAACACCAATTTGGGGACTGAAAATAATGCATGTCAACTAAAGAAGATCTAAGCCTGGGTATGGACAGATGAAAAGGAAACAAATTATGACCTAATATCTAGTAAAAAGAAAGAACTGTTCTCACTTTGACAGTGCATATATTAAAATTAGAATGATACAGAGATTAGCATAGCCCTTGCACCAGGAGGACATACAAATTCATGGAGTGTCCATTTAAAAAAAAATGAAGAAGAAGAATAGCTAGGATGTATTGACTGAGTTGAGAGGGAGTGCAAAGAAGTGTGAAAATTCAAGGATGGCCAAGGCTTCAAGTATAGATAACAGAAAATAACAGTTTAGATAACAGAAAATACAGCAGTGCCTTTTCAACATTGCATGGGGAGTTAATTTTGGGAGAGAACTTATGAGTTAGATTTTAATTTTAAACTTAGATTTTTGAGCATCGAATAGGAAATTTCAAGGAGAAAGTGTGAGATGCTAAGATAGACCACTGGAAGATTAGAATTAGACATATCTTCTCATGGAACACACGAGTCAGAGCTTTGTGCTGAATCCAAAAGAGTAAGTCTGAGTTGTAGTGAATATCCATAATATTGAGGAAAACTGGAAAGAAGAGGAAAAGACCAAGGAGAGAATGAGGAAGAAAGTCAGGATGCTGCAGGATTAAGGTGGCTAATGTGCCATTTTAAAGCGGGGGCGGATAACACTGCAAATACTACTAGACAATGAAGAAGAAAGAAGACATGAGCACCAGCAAATATGAGCACCACGGAATACATTGATTACATTTGAGAATGTAATTCAGGCATGAAAATAAACTAATAATCAGAATCTAAGACAAAAATAACCTAATTTGTAGATTGCATAAACTAGATGTTGACCTTTTTTAAAAAACATTTTTCAACATCTCTTTAAACCTGCTGTACCCAAAATGGTAGCCACCAGCCACATGTGTCTAAGTTTAAATTAAGATTAATTAAATTAAGCTAAATTAAATTAAATAAAAATTCACTTCCTCATTCATGCCAGCTACATTCCATGAGCTCCATAGCCACACATGGCCAGTGGCTATCATATTGGATAATGCAGAGTTAGCAAATTTCTCTGATCTCAGAAAGTTCTGATAGACAGCATTGCTCTGGACCATAGCCTTTTGAAAGTATGCAAATTAACTACTAATTTTCCCGAAATGTGTTTGTACTATAATGAAAAAATTGATTTATCCTTTTTACTTGAGTAAGCAAAGTGCATGCGTACACACACACAAACACAGACACACACACACACCATTTTACCATGAAACACATAAATGAAAAACAGAAACCAATCTGCACAGAACCATAAGAATTGATTAAAAATCCCTAGAAATGCTACATAACTGGTAAACGTCTCCTTTTTGAGTTGTCTTTCTTGACACACCAACATATCAAGCATTTTCAATAAACACATTTCACAGATTGGTTTCACAGATGGGCAGACTGAGGCCTAATGTGAAGAGCAGCTATGGAAAACAGTTATGAGGAACGTCACGTGCTCCAGTGTATTTCTCTCCCTGAGTATGCTCTTCTCAATGGCCAGAATTCAGTCGGCTTCCTCACTGTCAACTTCCAGAAACAGCATTTCCTCTGATATTTCTGACAGGTGTCTAAAACTTCTCCCAAAGACTATGTCAAATGCTGGCTGAGAAATTACCCATGGACTAGATACCTCCTATTAAATGTATACTATGCGTGTAGGTGGGTATTTCATCTGTCACAATTATCCACCACAGTATTATAGCATACAAGTGCCCTCGAATATACAGTTTTTATTGTTTTTCTGCCAAGGAACAAAGTGAACATTATTTTAAAAGGAATCTTCTTCAGTTCCCCTCTCTGTTCACAACACGTTTCACTACTGACTTTTATTTGCATGTGCTTAAGAATGTCACATCCATACATGCAACCAAAGTGAATTCCTGCAACTCATAAAAATACACCTGAATAGGAGGCCATGTATTTTGAAGAGATAAGAAAGATGATAAATATGGCAAAAGAACTGAGATTAATTCCACTTCCCCAACTTCCCACAGTGGGAGATTGGATGTTTCTGGCAGGCAACTCCCAAAAAAGTTCTGTATGGCATTTTAACAACTTATGAGGATAAAGGTGATCAATTATACTGGGTAAATTTCTAACTATACCTCTTGGTTACTTTTTGAAAATTTCTCCTTTTTGTCCACTGTGTTGATAGCACTGCACCCACCCAGATCTTTCTGACAGGTGTCAAAACCTCTCCCATGGGATATGTCAAATGTTGGCTGAGAAATTACTCATGGACTAGATCCATTCTATTAGATGTGTATTTTGTATGTAGATGGATATGTGTACAGTGAGTAGCCAAAGGGAATGGCTTCACAACTCACTGGAATTTTTACCTAATTGGTCAAAACTCTTCCCACCAACCCTTGTCTGATGGCTCACATGATGATTCTCCTAAAATTTCTAAGTTAGTACTTCCCAAGCTCTCCCTTCTTTCATTCAAATAACTCATGAAATTCAACAACTTCTAAGAAGTGTTTGCATTAGTCAATGGGTTTAGCAAATTAATTTTCTTCATTGCTAACACCCAATTCCTGCCATTTCCATCCAGGTCAAACCTTAAGTATCATTTCCACAATGAGGTCTTGCTTGGTCATCTCCTACGCCATCAACTGTCACTAACTCACTGTCACATCATCTTGTTTAATTTTAATTATAGCACTTACCATAGAAGAATTTGTCTTTCTACAGGTTTATAATATGTTTATTTAAAGTGTGTTTTTCCCAAATATAGTTTGAACTTCATGAGAGTAAGGCTTTGTCCATCTTGCTTACCACACTGTATCTGGCACATTATAGGTAGTCAAACATTTACTGAATGAAATCCAATTAAGCCTCTATACCTACATTCTAGTGCACAGTAAATTCAAAGCATAGAGGTACACATTAAATGACACCAAGAGGAAATTATCAGGCCAATGAAGAATGTGAGTGATCCTACATGATAACTGACCTGAAATATTTAAAACGTCAACATCATGGAGAAAACAAAGTAGAATAACTATTCTAGATTAAAAGAAACCAAAGAAACAGAAAAGCAAAATGATTGGTATGAATCCTTGACTGGATATGCATATGGAGGGAAAAACACATTCTTAAGAAAAATGCAGATATTTGAGAAGGATTTGGATATTTTATGGTTTCTAGAATTATTGTTACTTTCTTAGAAATCATAATGGCATTGTGGTAATTTAGGCAAATGTCCTTATTCTTAAGAGATCTATGCGGAATTATTAACATCTGCAGCTTAAGATTTCAAATGGACTAAAATAATGTTTGTGTGTGCATGTGTGTGTGTGTGTTTAAAGAGAGAGAGAAAAGGAAAAATTATATGGTGTTTACTGTACTTGCCTTCTGACTTATTCGCATGTTTTTTGATTTTTTGTTTGTTTTTTGAGACGGAGTCTCGCACTATTGCCCAGGCTGGAGTACAGTGGCGCAATCTCGGCTCACTGCAACCTCCAACTCCCAGGTTCAAGCAATTCTCCTGCCTCAGCCTCCCAAGTAGCTGGGATTACAGGCGCCTGCCACCATGTCCAGCTAATTTTTTGTATTTTTTTAGTAGAGATGGGATTTCACTATTTTGGCCAGGCTGGTCTCAAACTCCTAACCTCGTTATCCGTCTGCCTCAGCCTCCCAAAGTGCTGGGATTACAAGCATGAGCCACCGCGCCCAGCCTATTCACATGTTTTATTATGAACATTTTCAAAGTTGGAAAAAATAGCATTTGAATAAATGACTAGCTAGAAGAAAGATGGTTATTTCCTATTGATTCCAGCCTACCTAATACCCAATGCTCAGGACCCACTCTTCCTCCAGTGCTTTATAAAAATGTTTATTTACACTTATTTAATAATCTGAGCCATCTGTTGTTGACTGTTAGTTGTATGTCCTTGATATCATGTGGTTCAATGATATTCCTCCACAGAATAAGAGCCCAGATACCAAGGATCATGTCAATCAGTGCATTTCCAATGCCTACAGTGTCAAGCACAGAAAGATGACAAATTATTTTGGAGAACAAGTATATGTAGATCAACTACCCGTTTGTATATGAGTATTAAGTAGAAATGTCGAAAATAGTCCCAGGAGAGATGGCCATGACAGGAAACGTAATTTACATTTTCAAATGAAATAAATCTGGTTCAGTTACAAAAGGCTTACCTTGAAACTTTTGACAACAGCCTACCTCTAACATCGTAGTAACTGAAAAGAGCATCTTGCAGGGCCAAAAATAGTATATTCCAGCCAATGAATTTCTTATTTCCTTTGACTTTTCCACATTGTCCATGAGAATATAAGTTGTAAGAGAGCAAGAGTTTGGGTGTTTGTTCATATTGCTGTATTATCAGTGCCTAAAACTTATTAGATACTCAGTAAATATTTGTTGAATGAAGTAATGAATTGAATTTCTGTAGAACAATGGTTTTCCCACTTTAGCATACATCAGAATCACCTGGAGTACTTGTAAAACCATTGATTGCTGGACCCCACTCTCAGAGATTCTGATTCAGTACTTCTGAGGTGGAGCCCAAGGATATGCATTTCTAACAAGCTACTAAGTGACACTAAAGTTACTGCCCTGTGGACCACATTTTGAGGAAAACTTTTATAGAAAATAGCTCTTCAAACTTTCTCCTTGCCTCAGATAGATGCTGCTTCAGAGAAGAACACAGTACTTCCCAGTCCTTTTGTATAAGATACTTAATGTACTAGGTTGTTTACCTGACAAATAATCTGATGGCATTATAGAAACATTTAAAGTTGATTTAGACTGCTCAAAATTCAGGCACTTCCCATCAATCAAACCCATTATTTACCAGAGATATTTTTTCCTATAGATATTTTTCTTCCTAGGGGAAGCTGGCATTCCGTATTAGCAGCTCAGCATACTATTCCTTCAGCTCATACTTGTGCGTTTGGAAGAAGGCTGGGAAAATATTCACTTTCTCTCTGCAGCACAATTGTTCCATGAAGCATGTCTGCCGCCAGAAAAATCAGGTGTCTCATGCACTGCACAAATTTATGTTAAAGAAAGTCTGTTTACAAGAGACGAATATGTAACCCAAATTTATCTCCCTGTGACAACTTCTGAATCTGAAAATTTCCAACTTCTCCCCTTGTGAGTTGCTTGAAATTGCTGTTTTTCAAGTCAAGAACACCTGTTTAGTGTTTTTCTCCTCGCCCTCCCTGGTAAATGGAGCCTCTAGGAAAACAGATCTGAAGGTTTTAATGAATGAGAAACACAAAGTATTGACAGATTTCGGCACATTATGCCACCCTTACCCTGTCCCCCAAATGAGGTAAGATCAAAAAGGAAGAAAACAGTTGTGATATTGGGCTCTGGAGTTTGTTTTTAAACTGCTGCAATTGGCTAGGGTTGAATATCCTTCTACTGGGTACAGTCATAAGCAATTTGCACAATGCTGTGAAATGGCATATACAGACATGACTTCCGTAACTGAACAACTAAAGGTTTGATGTTCAGCATCAGGCACCCTTCCAAATAACTTTCCATCTCAACTATATAGCACTCTAGCAATCAACACTCCACTTGTACCTTTACTGCTGGTTCGGATCTAACCACAAAACAAAAAGCAAACAATAAAAAAGCCTGAGTCACTTATTGCATCTTTTTCTAACTCAGTAGTTATTGGGTATCTAGTTTATACAAAGTACAAATCCTAAAAAACAGAAAAGGAAAATATTAATTATGGATAGTTGGTATGAAATATCAGTGAAGGCTTCATAATTATATAACCTTTATTCACTGATAGGTAGTTACAAAGCACCTACTTTGTACAAGTAACTGACTAAGGTGCAAATATTTATTTGATGGTTAGTAAAGCTGCCACAATCCCTATATATCTTTGTGAATTTTTGTCAGTGAGACAAACAAGCAGGTCAGCAAATAAATGGCTATGTAATTACAAGTTAGGAAAAGTACACCAAAAGACAAACAGAAGGCCTTTGATTCGGCCAGCATTTGCTGTGCAGCTGCAATGAGGCAGGTCCTGTGGCTTGAAAGATGCATGAATTTTGAGAAACAGATAAAGTAAAATTAAAGAAAGAAGAGAGAACGGTAGTCTATGTAGAGTGAGTAACACAAGGCAATGTACAGGGTAGAAAAATCACAGGTGAGTCATCAAATTGAAATGAGATCTGAATTCTATTACAACAGCATGAGTTTTATATCCTAGCACACAGTTCTAAAAATTGGGGCTTAAAAAATAACCAATCTGTCGACATAGGAAGAACATGTCAAAAGCATCTAGTTTCATTGACACATAATATTAGTACATATTTTGGGGTTACATGTGATATTTTGATACCCGCACACATATGTAATGGTCAAATCAGGGTATTTAAGACATCTGTCATCTTGAACATTTACCATTTGTGTTTTAAATGTTTCACATCTTCTAGCTATTTTGAAATATGTAATATATTGTTAACTCTAATCATCTTACTGTACTATCAAACACTAGACCTAATTCCTTCTATCTAACTGAATGTTTGTATCTATTAACCAACCTCTCTTCAATCCCCTAATCCCCCAGCGCTTCCCAGACTCTGGTAATTATCATTCTACTCCCTACTTCATGAGATCAATTCTTTCAGCTCCTGTATATGAGTGAGAACATGCAATATTTGTTCTTCTGTGCATGGATTATTTCTCTTAACCTAGTAACATCCAGTTTCATCCATGTTGCTGAAAACGACAGTATTTCATTACCTAAGTTTTTGAAATATAAAAATTGAAATGGCTTTTTATTTGACATATATGTCAGATGGACGTGAATCACCAACGGATACATATAAGGAATCTTGAGAGAGGGGGCCATTTCTCTGAACCTGGCTTTCACTTTCAGCCCTTACATAGCCACCTTCAGAAGTTATTGACATGGGTAATTTTAATTAGTAGCATTCTTACATACTTTAAATAATAACATGAAGACTCATCAAGAACATCTTACGTATCACCCAGATGTTTGTTGGTTATCTGAAAGGAGCATACTTAAAGGAGTTATACAGTTGTCAAATTAAAGATGAGTTATATGTTTTACTTCTATAGAAACTATATTTCAAATTTGCAAGTATTTTCTAGGATAACAATAGATTATTCTCACATATGCCTTATCTGCCTCTTCCTGGTAAATATAAATATTTTCATACCTAAGAAAGTAAAAAAAAAAAAAGAAAGTACAGCTTTTGGGATAGAAAAAAAGCTACGGAGAGAACATTTAGAATATAAGTGTTTGGAAAACTTCTTCCACTTTTAAAAAAAAATTGTTACTAAAAATGACTTAAGTATATGATGTATTCAAAAAAATGTCACCAAGCTTAAATTTAGAAATGAATTTTTCTAGTCTTTAGAACTCTTCTAAATGAAGAGTTTCAGATGGTTTGAAGTGTTTATTAATATGTAACACTTGAATAATTAATTTGCAAGAAAACCTGTTAAGGAAGGCAGAAATTTAGGTGTCAAATTTCAGCCAAAAAAGAAAAAATTTTCACATAACTGGCAAAACATTCAAAATTGAGTGTCATGATTTGTTGCATTAACAATATATTCTCTCATATGTATTTTCTGAGGGAACTTCTAAAATTATAACACTTACAGCAAATAATTTGGAGTTAACTCCAAAATATTCAATTTATTAAATCAAAATGTTAAGCTAGGATTTTTATAATATAATCATATATAACTTCATGACACTATCATGGAAAACATTAACTGAATTATAGATTTAAAAATTTTAATCTTTTTTTATTATACTTTAAGTTTTAGGGTACATGTGCACAATGTGCAGGTTAGTTACATATGTAAACAAGATATTAAGAGATTAAAATTTTTGTCCTTGAGATAAAAATTTTAATCTCTTAATATCTTGTTTGTTTCATCTTTTGCTCATCTTTTTGAATTTGTTTTATGTATAAGTTTAAAATATATTAGTACAATGGTATAGGAACATAAATAACTAAATAAAAACATATTAGTATACAAACAAATTTGTGCTGATGGGTTGCACAATTAAAAGAGCTTGGTGAGCACTGCCTTACTGAAGAGGCTGCTAATGAAGCTTTTTGAGAAGAGATTTACCAATCTATACTTGCCTTTATGGAGTTAGCCACCAGAGATTAGAATGTCAGAGAGATAAGAAACTAAAGGCAGAGAAGAAAGTCAAAAGTTACTGTGATGATCTTACTAAGTGGGCCTGAAATAAAAGAGTCACATAGTTATAATAAAAGAAGAAATACATATGATAGGTATTGTGGTAAGCAGAATAATGGTCCCCCAAAGGGATCCATGTCCTAAATCCTGGAATCTGAAAAGAGAGTGTTGCAGATGAAATTAAGGTTGCTAATAAGATGACATTAAAATAAAGAAATTATCCTGGATTTTCTTGATGGGCCCAATGTAATGACAGGACTCCTTAAATGTGGAAGAGGAAGGCAGAAGGGTCTGTGGTAGAGTGACGTAAGGTGAGAAAGATTCAATCTTGCATTGCTGGCTTTGAAGACGGGGGCCATGAGCCAAGGAATGCAGGTAACTTCTAGGAGAGAAAAGAGGCAAGGAAAGGAATACTTTCAGAGCTTCAAGAAGAAATGTAGCCCCAGCAACACCTTGATTTTATTTCCGCGAAACCCATTTTGGACTTGTGACCTCCAGAACTACAGGACAATAAATTTGCACTGTACTGAGCCACCAGGTTTATAATAATTTGTTATCATAGCAATAGAAAATTAATATAGATATTATGGAAGAAACACAATGGATAGCAGTTAGGGGGAAGAGTGAAAAATTGAATATGACTTAGAGTTTTAAAGCTTAGGCGATTAAACAGTGGATTTAACAATTATATAATCAGAGAAGAAAGAAGAAGAAACAGATGTAGGCAGAATGCTAAAAATAACATTGTAAAACCATCTAGCTCTATGTTATACGTGTCTTAGATTGGGCTACTCTAACAAAAGAGTACAGACTGGGTGACTTGAACAACCAATGTTTATTTCTCATAGTTCTGGGGGCTGGGAAGTCGAAGATCAAGGTGCTGACAGATCTGGTGTCTAGAATGAGGGTGTTCTTCCTGTTATGCAGATGCCATCATCTCATTCTATCTTCCAAAGCAGAGAAAGACAAAGCTCTAGTCTCTTTCTTTTTTTCTAAAGGCACTAATCCCATCATGAGGGCAGCACCCTCATTACCTGATATGGTTTGGCTCTACATTCCCACCCAAATGTCATCTTGAATTGTACTCCCATAATTCCCATGTATTGTGGGAGGGACCTGGAGGAAGATAATTTGAATCATAGGGGCAGTTTCCTCCATACTGTTCTTGTGATAGTGAATAAGTCTCACGAGATCTGATGGGTTTATCAGGGGTTTCCACTTTTGCTTCTTCCTCATTTTCTCTTGCTGCCACCATGTAAGAAGTGCCTTTCACCTCCTGCCATGATTCTGAGGCCTCCCCAGCCATGTGGAACTGTAAGTCCAATTAAACTTCTTTTTCTTCCCAGTCTTAGGTATGTCTTTATCAGCAGTGTGAAAATAGACTAATATAGTAATTTGGTACCAGTAGAGTGGGGCATTGCTGAACAGATACCCGAAAATGTGGAAGTGACATTGGAACTGGGTAACAGGCAAAGGTTGGAACAGTTTGGAAGGATCAGAAGAAGACAGGAAAATGGGGGAAGGTTTGGAACTTCCTAGAGATTTGTTGAATGGCTTTGACAAAAATGCTGATAGTAATATGGACAATAAGGTCCAGGCTGAGATGGTCTCAGATGGAGATGAGGAGTTTGTTGGGAACTGGAGCAAAGGTAACTCTTCCTATGTTTTGGCAAAGAGGCTGGTGGCATTTTACCCCTGCCCTAGAGATTTGTGGAACTTTGAACTCGAGAGAAATGATTTAAGGTGTCTGGGGAAGAAATTTCTAAGCAGTAAAGCATTCAAAAGGTGACTTGGCTGCTGTTAAAAGCATTTCATTTTAAAAGGGAAACAGAACATAAAAGTTCAGAAAATTTGCAGTCTGACGATGCAGTGGAAAAGGAAAACCCATTTTCTGAGAAGAAATTCAAGCCAGCTACAGAAATTTACATAAGTAGCAAGGAGCCTAATGTTAATCCCCAAGACCATGGGGAAAATGTCTCCAGGGCTTCTCAGAGACCTTCATGGCAGCCCCTCCCATCACAGGCCCAGAGGCCCAGAAGGAAAAAGTGGTTTTATGGGCCAGGCCCAGTGTCCCCATGCTATATGCAGCCTAGGGACTTGGTACCTTGTGTCCAAGCTGCTCCCACCATGGCTGAAAGAGGCCAATGTACAGCTTGGGCTATGGCTTCAGAGGGTGGAAGCCCCAGTCCTTGCCAGCTTATATGTGGTATTGAGCCTACGGGTACACAAAAGTCAAGGATTGAGGTTTGGGAACCTCCCCCTAGATTTCAGATGATGTATGGAAATGCCTGGATGCCCAGGCAAAAGTTTGCTGCAGGGGCAGGGCCCTCATGGAGAACCTCTGCTACGGTAGTGCAGAAGGGAAATGTGGCATTGGAGCCCCCACAGAGAGACCCTATTGGAGCACTGCCTATTGGAGCTGTGAGATGAGGACCACTGTCTTCCAGACCCCAGAATAGTAGATCCACCGACAGCTTGCACCGCATACCTGGAAGAGCTGCAGACACTCAACGCCAGCCTATGAAAGTAGCCAGGAAGGGGGCTATACCCTGCAAAGCCACAGGGGTGCAGCTGCCCAAGACTATGGGAACCTACCTCTTCCATCAGCATGACCTAGATGTGAGACATGGAGTCAACGAAGAACATTTTGGAGCTTTAAAATTTGACTGTCCCACTGGATTTTGGACTTTCATGGGCACTGTAACCCCTTTGTTTTGGCCAATTTCTCCCATTTGGAATGGGTGTGTTTACCTAATACCTGTATCCTCATTGTGTCTAGGGAGTAACTAGCTTGCTTTTGATTCTACAGGCTCATAGGCAGAAGGGACTTGCCTTGTTTCAGATAAGACTTTGGACTGTGGACTTTGGGGTTAATGCTGAAATGAGTTAAGACTTTGGGGAACTGTTGGGAATGCATGATTCATTTTGAGATGTGAGGACATGAGATTTGGAGGGGCCAGGGTGGGATGATATCGTTTGGCTCTATGTCCCCACCCAAATCTCATCTTGAATTGTACTCCCATAATTCCCACATGTTGTGGGAGGGATCCAATGGGAGATAATTTGAATCATCGGGGCAGTTTCTACCATACTGTTCTTTTTATAGTGAGTAAGTCTCATGAGATCTGATGGGTTTATCAGGAGTTTCCGCTTTTGCTTCTTCCTCATTTTCTCTTGCTGCCACCATGTAAGAAGTGCCTTTCAACTCCTGCCATGGTTCTGAGGCCTCCCCAGTCATGTGGAACTGTAAGTCCAATTAAACCTCTTTTTCTTCTCAGTCCCAGGTAAGTCTTTATCAGAAGTATGAAAATTCACTAATACATTACCTCATATAAACTTAATTACTTCCAAAAGTCCCTATCCCCTAATACTATTCCAATAGGGGTCAGGGTTTCAGCATATAAATTCTGGGGGGACACATTTAGTCCATAGCAATATCCTTAATACATATTAATCAATTATAAATTTAAAAAGTTCACCACTTCAGTGAAACTTTCAATAAGTAATGTCATAGTAAACTTTTGTAATTAAATATTAATTATTAAAATTGGGAAAGATGTAAAAGAAAGAAAGCATATGCTTGACCAGTGATCAAATGCTATTATACACTGAAACCCATAATAAATATAATTTTAGTGTCATGGAAAAAAACACAGAGCTAACATCTTTTCATTGTTTTTGTCTTGGGTTTTGTTTTTCTCCTGCCTATGATGTATTGTATTTCTGTAAATGACAAAAGGCTTCTGCACCTAAATCTAATGCACTCATATCAAGATACTGCTTTGGAATAGAAACAAGAAATTATTAAGAGGGATGAAATGGATGAGTCTAATAAATGTACAACAGATTCCTTTTTTCTGCTCTTCATGTCATGTCTTTTGAACTACTCCTCCAACCATGGACTGATCAGAGGGTTGGTGAAGACTGGATGCTATTGGAACTCAATAAACAAGTGCAACTTTGGATTCGATAATGTGGCAACACCTAGGGTTTTTAGATGCTGACAGAGCACTTGCTGTTGAATGAGTATAGACTTAAGGAGGGAACCAAAATAAACCATCACTGTGTTGTAGAACTCTCCATTTAACTTCTTATCTGGAAAATCTGGCTAATGTTCAACCCAAATATTCTCTATATACTAGACAGCACTTTGGCAAGACCCTACAATCCCACTTCTAGGACTCTATATTATAGAACTAACCAGACATATGTATGTGTGTATAAATCAGAATAATTTCTACAAATGTTCATTTGATTTGTTCTCTCTGTATTTCCTCACCCTCCCCAAGTAACAAGCTAGTGGCCAAACTGTTGTTTGCTTCTTCAACTTATTTTCTAGGACAAAAAACAAAAGAGGCATGTCTAGAGTTTTTTCTATAAATGATAGATCATAGAAGACATAATGGTGGGCATGGGAAGGGACAGAGAGGACAAAATTAAAGGCAAATAAATAAGAGATATTTTCTCAGACCAGAATGAGTCCTTGGTTAATATATGCACATCTCAGGTTTTAACCATCCACAGAACCCTAGCTGGATTTTCAGCTCCAGCTTTGCCACTGACATGGCAGATAAACTTACTTAATCCCTATTCCAGGAGTTGGGGATTTAGCAGGGAATAAGACAGATAAGGCCCTATCTTCATGGAGCTTATATCCCTATCAAAAATAAACTAAAATAAGTAGCTCATTCTGCTCCAGCAATGATGTTACCCAAAACTAGGAGAAAAATCAGTCAAGAAAAAAAAAAAAAAAAACCTTTCAGCAGTGACACAGATAATGGAGCTAGTAGACACAGATTTGTCAGCTAGTATAACTATGTTCAAACAGTTAAAAGAAGCCATAAACATACTGAGAAGAGATACAGATGATATAAGGTCAAATGGAACTTCTAGCATGAAAAATAAAATACCTGAAGTGAAAAATTCATTGGAAAGACTTAACAGCAGATTCACTTTGCAGAACAAAGTGAACTTGAAAATATAGCAAAAAATACACAAAAATAAAGCACAGAGGAAAAAGTAATAACTAAAACAGTCACAATAGATTATAGGAAACTATTAAGCAGAAGAATGGTGTCAGGGACAGAAAAAGTATTTGAAGAAACAATGGTCAAAATTGTGCCAAATTTGATGAAAACTCGGACCCACAGATCGAAAAGGTCCAGAAACCTCAAGGAAAATACAAATAAAACTATACCAATGCATATGATAATCAAACTGCTGAAAAACAGTGATAAAGAGAAAATATTTAAAGCAGCCAGAGAAAAATAATCCAAGTTACATATATGGAAGAGAAAAACGTAAAAATTCTCAAAGACTTCTCATCAGAAACTATGCAATCTGAAAGACAATGGAATCACATCTTTAAGAAAAATAAAATATATCCTTTCCATGTTTAGTGCTTCCTTCAGGAGCTCTTTTAGGGCAGGCCTGGTGGTGACAAAATCTCTCAGTGTTTGCTTGTCTGTAAAGGATTTTATTTCTCCTTCACTTATGAAGCTTAGTTTGGCTGGATATGAAATTCTGGGTTGAAAATTCTTTTCTTTAAGAATATTGAATATTGGCCCCCACTCTCTTCTGGCTTATAGAGTTTCTTCCAAGAGATCAGCTGTTAGTCTGATGGGCTTCCCCTTGTGGGTAACCTGACCTTTCTCTCTGGCTGCCCTTAACATTTTTTCCTTCATTTCAACTTTGGTGAATCTGACAATTATGTGTCTTGGAGTTGCTCTTCTCGAGGAGTATCTTTGTGGTGTTTTCTGTATTTCCTGAATTTGAATGTTGGCCTGCCTTGCTAGGTTGGGGAAGTTCTCCTGGATAATACCCTGCAGAGTGTTTTCCAACTTGGTTCCATTCTCCCCATCACTCTCAGGTACACCAATCAGATGTAGATTTGGTCTTTTCACATAGTCCCATATTTCTTGGAGACGTTGTTCATTTCTTTTTATTCTTTTTTCTCTAAACTTCTCTTCTTGCTTCATTTCACTCCTTCGATCTTCAATCACTGATACCCTTTCTTCCAGTTGATCGAATCGGATACTGAGGCTTGTGCATTCATCATGTGGTTCTCGTGCCATGGTTTTCAGCTCCATCAGGTCCTTTAAGGACTTCTCTGCATTGGTTATTCTAGTTAGCCATTTGTGTAATCTTTTTTCATGTAATCTTTTTTCAAGGTTTTTAACTTCTTTGCAATGGGTTCAAACTTCCTCCTTTAGCTTGGAGAAGTTTGATCATCTGAAGCCTTCTTCTCTCAACTCGTCAAAGTCATTCTCTGTCCAGCTTTGTTCCATTGCTGGTGAGGAGCTGCGTTCCTTTGGAGGAGGAGAGGCGCTCTGATTTTTAGAATTTTCAGTTTTTCTGCTCTGTTTTTCCCCATCTTTGTGGTTTTATCTAC
Organism: Homo sapiens; assembly: GCF_000001405.40. Taxonomy (NCBI): domain Eukaryota; kingdom Metazoa; phylum Chordata; class Mammalia; order Primates; family Hominidae; genus Homo; species Homo sapiens. Next base: position 163,781,634 of record NC_000005.10, on the reverse strand, counting down.
CTTTGGTCTTTGATGATGGTGACATACAGATGGGGTTTTGGTGTGGATGTCCTTTCTGTTTGTTAGTTTTCCTTTGAACAGTCAGGACCCTCAGCTGCAGGTCTGTTGGAGTTTGCTGGAGTCCACTCCAGACCCTGTTTGCCTGGGTATCAGCAGCGGGGGCTGTAGAACAGCAAATATTGCTGAACAGTAAATGTTGCTGCCTGATCGTTCCTCTGGAGGTTTTGTCTCAGAGGGGTACCCGGCCGTGTGAGGTGTCAGTCTGCCCCTACTGGGGGGTGCCTCCCAGACAGGCTACTCAGGGGTCAGGGACCCACTTGAGGAGGCAGTCTGTCCATTCTCAGATCTCAAACTCCATGCTGGGAGAACTACTACTCTCTTCAAAGCTGTCAGACAGGGACATTTAAGTCTGCAGAGGTTTCTGCTGCCTTTTGTTCGGCTATGCCCTGCCCCCAGAGGTGGAGTGTACAGAGGCAGGCAGGCCTCCTTGAGCTGCGGTAGGCTCCACCCAGTTCGAGATTCCCAGCCCCCTTTGTTTACCTACTCAAGCCTCGTCAATGATGGGCGCCCCTCCCCCAGCCTCGCTGCTGCCTTGCAGTTCGATCTCAGACTGCTGTGCTACCAATGAGTGAGGCTCCGTGGGCGTGGGACCCTCCAAGCCAGGTGCGGGATATAATCCGCTGGTGTGCCGTTTGCTAAGACCATTGGAAAAGCGCAGTATTAGGGTGGGAGTGACCCGATTTTCCAGGTGCCATCTGTCACAGCTTTGCTTGGCTATGAAAGGCAATTCCCTGACCCCTTGTGCTTCCCAGGTGAAGCAATGCCTCGCCCTGCTTCGGCTCATGCCAAAGGAACAACCGGTACCAGCCACTGCAAAAACATGCCAAATTGTAAAGACCATCAAGGCTAGGAAGAAACTGCATCAACTAATGAGCAAAATAACCAGCTAACATCATAATAACAGGATCAAATTCACACATAACAATATTAACCTTAAATGTAAATGGGCTACATGCTCCAATTAAAAGACACAGACTGGCAGATTGGATAAAGAGTCAAGACCCAACAGTGTGCTGTATTCAGGAAACCCATCTCACTTGCAGAGACACACATAGGCTCAAAATAAAGGGATGGAGGAAGATCTACCAAGCAAATGGAAAACAAAAAAAGGCAGGGGTTGCAATCCTAGTCTCGGATAAAACAGACTTTAAACCAACAAAGATCAAAAGAGACAAAGAAGGCCATTACATAATGGTAAAGGGATCAAATCAACAAGAAGAGCTAACTATCCTAAATATATATGCACCCAATACAGGAGCACCCAGATTCATAAAGCAAGTCCTTGGAGACCTACAAAGAGACTTAGACTCCCACACAATAATAATGGGAGATTTTAACACCCCACTGTCAACATTAGACAGATCAACAAGACAGAAAGTTAACAAGGATATCCAGGAATTGAACTCAGCTATGCACCAAGCAGACCTAATAGACATCTACAGAACTCTCCACCCCAAATCAACAGAATATACATTCTTCTAAGCACGACACTGCACCTACTCCAAAATTGACCACGTAGTTGGAAGTAAAGCACTCCTCAGCAAATGTAAAATAACAGAAATTATAACAAACTGTCTCTCAGACTACAGTGCAATCAAACTAGAACTCAGGATTAAGAAACTCACTCAAAACCACTCAACTACATGGAAACTGAACAACCTGCTCCTGAATGACTACTGGGTACATAACGAAATGAAGGCAGAAATAAAGATGTTCTTTGAAACCAACGAGAACAAAGACACAACATACCAGAATCTCTGGGACACATTTAAAGCAGTGTGTAGAGGAAAATTTATAGCATTAAATGCCCACAAGAGAAAGCAGGAAAGATCTAAAATTGACACCCTAACATCACAATTAAAAGAACTAGAGAAGCAAGAGCAAACACATTCAAAAGCTAGCAGAAGGCAAGAAATAACTAAGATCAGAACAGAACTGAAGGAGATAGACACACAAAAAACCCTTCAAAAAATCAATGAAACCAGGAGCTGGTTGTTTGAAAAGATCAACAAAATTGATAGACCCCTAGCAAGACTAATAAAGAAGAAAAAAGAGAAGAATCAAATAGATGCAATAAAAAATGATAAAAGGGATATCACCACCAATCCCACAGAAATACAAACTATCATCAGAGAATACTACAAACACCTCTACAAAAATAAACTAGAAAATCTAGAAGAAATGGATAAATTCCTTGGTGCATACACCCTCCCAAGACTAAACCAGGAAGAAGTTGAATCTCTTAACAGACCAATAACAGGCCCTGAAATTGAGACTATAATTAATAGCTTACCAACCAAAAAAAGTCCAGGACCAGACGGATTCACAGCCTAATTCTACCAGAAGTACAAGGAGGAACTGGTACCATTCCTTCTGAAACTATTCCAATCACTAGAAAAAGAGGGAATCCTCCCTAACTCATTTTATGAGGCCAGCATCATCCTGATACCAAAGCCTGGCAGAGACACTACAAAAAAAGAGAATTTTAGACCAATATCCCTGATGAACATCGACGCAAAAATCCTCAATAAAATACTAGCAAACCGAATCCAGCAGCACATCAAAAAGCTTATCCACCAAGATCAAGTGGGCTTCATCCCTGGGATGCAAGGCTGGTTCAACATATGAAAATCAGTAAAACGTAATCCAGCATATAAACAGAACCAAAGACAAAAACCACATGATTATCTCAATAGATGCAGAAAAGGCCTTTGACAAAATTCAACAGCCGTTCATGCTAAAAACTCTCAATAAATTAGGTATTGATGGGATGTATCTCAAAATAATAACAGCTATCTATGACAAACCCACAGCCAATATCATACTGAATGGGCAAAAACTGGAAGCATTCCCTTTGAAAACTGGTACAAGACAGGGATGCCCTCTCTTACCACTCCTATTCAACATAGTGTTGGAAGTTCTGGCCAGGGCAATCAGGCAGGAGAAAGAAATAAAGAGTATTCAATTAGGAAAAGAGGAAGTCAAATTGTCCCTGTTTTCAGATGACATGATTCTATAACTAGAATCCCCATCGTCTCAGCCCAAAATCTCCTTAAGCTAATAAGCAACTTCAGCAAAGTCTCAGGATACAAAATCAATGGGCAAAAATCACCAGCATTCTTATACACCAATAACAGACAGAGAGCCAAATCATGAGTGAACTCCCATTCACAATTGCTTCAAAGAGAATAAAATACCTAGGAATCCAATTTAGAAGGGATGTGATGGACCTCTTCAAGGAGAACTACAAACCACTGCTCAACAAAATAAAAGAGGACTCAAACAAATGGAAGAACATTCCATGCTCATGGATAGGAAGAATCAATATCATGAAAATGGCCATACTGCCCAAGGTAATTTATACATTCAATGCCAGCCCCATCAAGCTAGCAATGACTTTCTTCACAGAATTGGAAAAAAATACTTTAAAGTTCATATGGAACCAAAAAACAGCCCGCATTGCCAAGACAATCCTAAGCAAAAAGAACAAAGCTGGAGGCATCACGCTACCTGACTTCAAACTACACTACAAGGCTACAGTAACCAAAACAACATGGTACTGGTACCAAAACAGAGATATAGATCAATGGAACAGAACAGAGCCCTCAGAAATAATACCACACATCTGCAACTATCTGATCTTTGACAAACCTGATAAAAACAAGAAATGGGGAAAGGATTCCCTATTTAACAAATGGTGCTGGGAGAACTGGCTAGCCATATGTAGAAAGCTGAAACTGGATCCCTTCCTTACACCTTATACAAAAATTAATTCAAGATGGATTAAAGACTTACATGTCAGACCTAAAACCATAAAAACCCTAGAAGAAAACCTAGGCAATACCATTCAGGACATAGGCATGGGCAACGACTTCATGCCTAAAACACCAAAAGCTATGGCAACAAAAGTCAAAATTGACAAATGGGATCTAATTAAACTAAAGAGCTTCTGCACAGCAAAAGAAACTACCATCAGAGTGAACAGGCAACCTACAGAATGGGAGAAAATTTTTGCAATCTACTCATCTGACAAAGGGCTAATATCCAGAATCTACAATGAACTCAAACAAATTTACAAGAAAAAAACAAACAACCCCATCAAAAAGTGGGCAAAGGCTATGAACAGACACCTCTCAAAAGAAGACATTTATGCAACCAACAGACACATGAAAAAATGCTCATCATCACTGGCCATCAGAGAAATGCAAATCAAAACCACAATGAGATATCATCTCACACCAGTTAGAATGGCAATCATTAAAAAGTCAGAAAACAACAGGTGCTGGAGAGGATGTGGAGAAATAAGAACACTTACACTGTTGGTGGGACTGTAAACTAGTTCAACCATTGTGGAAGACAGTGTGGCAATTCCTCAGGGATCTAGAACTAGAAATACCATTAGACCCAGCAATCCCATTACTGGGTATATACCCAAAGGACTATAAATCATGCTGCTATAAAGACACATGCACACATATGTTTACTGCGGCACTACTGACAATAGCAAAGACTTGGAACCAACCCAAATGTCCAACAATGATAGACCAGATTAAGAAAATGTGGCACATATACACCATGGAATACTATGCAGCCATAAAAAATGATGAGTTCATGTCCTTTGTAGGGACATGGATGAAGCCGGAAACCATCATTCTCAGCAAACTATCACAAGGACAAAAAACCAGACACCGTATGTTCTCACCCATGGGTACGAATTGAACAATGAGAACACTTGGACACAGGAAGGGGAACATCACACACTGGGGCCTGTTGTGGGGTGGGGGCAGGGGGAGGGATACCATTAGGAGATATACCTAATGTAAATGAGGAGTTAATGGGTGCAGCACACCAACATGGCACATGTATACATATGTAACTAACCTGCACGTTGTGCACATGTACTCTAGAACTTAAAGTATAATATATATATAAAAAGAAAAATAAAAAATATCATTTAGTAAACCCTTAATTTGCCCTAAATAATAGATCTGGGCAATGATCATCTAGTCTGTTAACATCACAAAACAGACGATTTACATCATTTGTCTCCTAATGAAAGTACACAAAATAACCTAATATGTATTTTGACCAAAAATAATACAATAAAATAACGTGAATCAGATCAAACCTCTAGATGCAAAAAATGAGTTTATAAGAAATACAGGGTAAGCTGCACACAGTGAGTGGCTCATGCCTGTAATCCCAGCAATTTGGGAGGCCGAGGAAGGTGGATCACCTGAGGTCAAGAGTTTGAGACCAGCCTGGCCAACATGGCAAAACCCCATCTCTACCAAAAATACAAAAATTAGCCAGGCGTGGTGGTGGATGCCTGTAATCCCAGCTACTTGTGAGGCTGAGGCAGAGGAATCGCTTGAACCCAGGAGGCAGAGGTTGCAGTGAGCCGAGATAATGCCACTGCACTCCAGCCTGGGTGAGAGTGAGACTCGGTCTCAAAAAAAAAAAAAAAAAATACAGGGTATAGAGGAGCATATTAAATAACAAGTGGTCACAATCAGCAAACTTCAGAATAAGGGAAATACTATAGAACAAACAATGTAGTTTACATTGTTTCTTAACCAAATAAATTGTAAGAAGATAAAAAGTAATTTAAGAAATATAGCAGTCAAATTCAATGTGTAGATTTTATTTCTATTCTAATTTTAACAGACTACAATTTTTTAAAAGTTGCACTAACTGGATTTTTGATAATATTAGGGAATCAGAGATGCATAATGAAACATTTCTGGTACTTGCAAATGCGTTTGGGGAGAAGGTGAAGAATATGCACAGGTATAAATGGAACCAGAGTGGCCATTTGTTTATTTGTTACTATAGCTGGGTAAAGCACATATAAGGGGTTCATTTCTCTCTACTCTTATTGATACATTTATAGAACAAAAAATAAAGAAAATAAAACTAAAAAACTTATAGTTTTTATTTTTGTAAGCTGATGGAACGAAATATATATTCTCTGTTGGTACAGACATGTTTTTTGTAGTGCTATAGAATTGAAATCGGAGGAAGGGGAATAAGGATATAAAAATGTATGTAGCATAATCCCAATTAGTTTTTAAATGTATTGTTCTATTTTCATATACATATAAATGAGAGAGGGAGAGAAGGGAGAGGCGGAAACAAGCAAGCATGTAAAAATGTTAGCTGGAATTATTTCCAAGCAATAGAATTATGAGTAATTTTTAACTTCATGAAAATTTTCTCTTTTTAAGTTTTCCACATGATTTATGACTATAATAAAAAAGCCATAAATTATCTAAAATAAAGGACAAAAACAAATGTATCCAAAATCAAACTTATAAAGTAGAATATTAAGTCTGTCCTTTACTCTGGAGTTCATGAATAAAGTGATAATTTAAAAATAGTGAGTCACAATACCCATACATCTGCTATGATATCTTCCTGAGGCACATTTGGTCCTTTCCTTCCTTGCTTTCTGAAAGTACATGGTATACGTCTCTTTTTCTAGTGCTTATCTATTCCGTTATACTATCATTTTTAAGTGCCTCTCACTCTTCTCTTGCCTAAATGTAAAATCTTAGAGACATCTTATTCTCCTTTGTATCTCAGCACCGACACACAACAGCAGTGTCAATGACGAGATTATTGGAGGAGTTACTAAAGTGCTGTCAAAAAGAAATAATATAAAATTAACAAAAACCAGAGAAAACAGAATTAAAACAAAGATTCTCTTTACACCAGAAGACATTTTGATGAGATCTACTAATCCATTGTTCACTCATTTAAACAAATATTAAGTTTCAATCTTGTGTTAGGTAGTTAAAGAAATGCAAAACGAAACAAAAATCATATTAACTGCCCCCAAGAAGGTCAGAATCACATAAGGAAAAAGAGAGATTCATAAATAACTGCAATAACATAACAGGAGAAATGGAGGCATAAGTGGTACAAAAGTCCATCATGGAAGAGTAAAGAATATTTACATCCCACAGATCACAGAGGAAAAACTCTGTGGAGAAGACAGCATTGGCATTGTCTTGGAAAATGGCTGGTAAAAAACACACGGGCAAAGAATCACATGAGTAAAAAAAAAGTAGACATACACATACTTTGGCATTGTCACTAAAAACGAAAAAGGCAGAAATTGACTAGATGGAATCAGAGGCTTATAATTACGATGATTACTAACGAAAAGCCAACAACTGGTCAGATATTCATAAATTTTTTCCAGTAAATGTTTATTAAAAGATCCTGAGCACCAAGCACCATGTCCATCACCATTGTGATCCTAGCTCTGTTCGCCTGTCCACCTCAAACAGTTGTTGCCCCCAGCACACGGGCAATGTGTTAGTCTTCTATTGTTGTTCATTCCTCACTCCTCTCTCCCACCTCCCTTTCATCCCCATCCAACTCTTCCATCAAAGCTCCTTTTGGAGGTCACATTTTCAGGCCAATTACTGCCTTCGGCCACCCTCCCTGGTGCTTTGAGGGTGTGTGCACCCACCATCGTGCCCCGTCACCACTGTCACTGCTGTTTCACGTTACACTCTAACTGCCTTATGCGTTTCCTCCCTGACACCGTGATGGTCCTCACCTTCAAAGAGCTTTTGCTCAACATGTGCGGAAGAAGGGAGTAAAAGAAGGAAAGCGGGACATAAAGAAAAAATCCTTCTCCCCCAACATGCGGTTCTGCCTCTGCATTATTGGCCTGGTCATCATCATAGCCCGTAGAGCTGAGAAGGGTTTTGTAGTTGAAAACACTCCGATTCCATCTGCTAAACTATCCTACCAGACCCACTTGCTGTTAATAACAACATTCCTCTCAACTATCAAATCATTATTGACTTTTTGTGGATACATGATGGATTAATCACTGATCTCAAATGGGAATGGGAATGGCGTCCTTGATTAGTATCTAACTGTAGACGCTGAAAAGAGATTTGCTTTTCTTCTGTTTGAAAGAATGTGCAGGGGAGGAGGATAGAGAGGTAGGGGAGGGAAGCTATCTGTAAGCATCCCTTCCGGACCAGACGTTTCTCTTTCAGAACTCCACCCACAACACATCTCAATAGACATGGGAACAATTTTCACCAGGGCAATCGGGTCATTGGTACTGAGTTTCTCTTTACATCAAGGGCATCCTAATGGCATTTTGTTGTTTTCGTTGTTGTTTTGCACAGAGGAAGCCAGAATATCTATTTCATTTTCTCCAAAAGATTTACATCTTGGCCAGTGTCAGATTACTTTTCACTGTCGCTGTCACGCTTGGCTACCTTCATACTGTTGACTTAATAAATCAAACTTACCTGAATGTCCCCAAATGTGGCCAGGAAGGAGAGTCTGATTCTTTTTTTAATAAGCACACACTGACCAATCATTTAGACTCCTCTGCACTTCTAGAGCTAAGGAGACATTCCCATTACCTCATAATGTCCCCTATTAGTTCTCTCTGGTTTTATTAAAACCTTTTCTCTTTCATTAAAATAAAAAGCCTCTGAAAAACTACAGTTACAGATTTTCTGCAACCCACAATTTATGGCTGCTACTTGCAACCTTCAAAAGCTTTTAAAAATAGTATCGGCTCTATTATTCTACATTATGGTAATTGTAGTAAAGATTTAAGAGGCACTTTAAGACTTTTTAGCTCTACAGTATATTTCTGTTCCAATTTCTTGCTTAGGCATTTGGGAAAGAAGCCTTATTTAAAAGCTTTACCCTCTGCCCCCTGATATACAGCTTTCCTCTTAACTACAGTAGCTGGACCTCACCACACAATTAGGGAAGCTAGGTCTCCAATTAAAGCTCAGCAAAACATGGGGCAGAGCACATCTTTCCAGAAGCCCCTTCCATTTATATGCACCTGACAATAATCAAAATTTTTCTCATGTGCTAGGTACCTTTGACCCCTTCGTTATGCTTCACATTCCCTTGTTAACTCTCCACCCCTCCTTTGCTCCCATAGGAAATCAGTGCAGATAATCACAAGATTAAATAACTCTAATGCCACTGCTAAAATGTTCAAAGCCATTAATATAACAAATGCCCACAGAGCCACAGGGATTTATATAGTATTGAAATTAAACTGACCTCACCTTATCTTCGACATAGATCTGTTCTTCCTAGTTAACCTGTGTTTTCTTCTTGTTGCCCAGTCTAGGATGGTTACAATTCAAAACAACCAAGGAAACAGCTAATGGAATTTCCACAACTGTGAGCATGCATAAATCCCAATCTGGCATTGTCCTTTGTATTCAATGCACCAAATGGGATGAGCATTTTAAACACAATTCCCTCCACACACCACATTGCTAAGGCATTCTTCTTAGGCACACACCATAAGGAAAAACCACACATTCCCTGATTCTCCCTTCCCTCCTTTAGGAATCCAGTAGCATCTGGACAGCACAAATCTGTAACAGTCCCCAACTCTTCAAAGTATAGAGCCAAGTCCCAGACATTTCTTGTTCTGACTAGAGCTCTTCTACTGCAGAGCCACGATCTTTCATTGTATCAATATTTATCAGCTGGGGAGCTTTACACGTGAACTTCCTAACTGAGCACATTTTCCCCCAACTCCTAGCTTTCTTCCAAAGCACAGGATAGCTCTATTCCACACCTAGAGTAAATAAGCTTAAGTGTTTCTGCTTTGTTTTGCCTGGCTCCAAGTTTCCGTGTAAATTTCAGAATGGTGAAACACACAGCGATTCCTGCCCACTGGTATTTTATGATTTTAATTTGCTCGAAACCTCTCAGTTTCATTATATTTTCCCATTTGGTGCATGGGATTTTTACAGTTAACAGATGTTCACTTAATAGAGTCTCCTAGTGAGCAAATCAGTTTTTTCCCTCTGGTATTCATGTAACTTTCTAGTCCTGCAATAGCTGTTTCTGGTGCCTGCCAAGTTATCTGGCAGTACAAACTTAGATAGAAAAGTGCAACAGTTATTTGTAAATGTATATTCCCATTCCTTCCATCCCACTCACTCCAACTTAACTACTTCCTCATTAACATCATGTGAGAAAGCCCGCAGGAGAAAACACTAACTACAAAAAACGGACAGGTTTCACTCCCAGATGAAAAGATGTTCTGCGCCCAGTAAATATTTTCTTAGCCTCTAGCCACTGAAAATGCCAAAATGTTTAATGCATCCAAAATTCTAAAGGCAGAGTTTTCCAAGTTGTCCTAGACCAATCTCCAACTATTGAGTTGTTTGGAGGGCTTTATTCAAATATATCTGAGGACGTTAAAATAAATCACAACACTGTAGCAAGGTCCTCGTCCCAGGAATCCTGACTTATCTGCTTACAGTTCTTTACTTACCTAGGAAAGGAAAGGTTCTGGAGTTTCTGCAGAGGCTGTATCATAGGTTACCTTCAGGTTTCAAAAACTATCTACAACTCTGAGTAGCAGATATCCCACTGACACCCCTATTTGTTTTAGGATACGAAGGATGATCTCTCTTGAGAAGTCATTTGGATCCCAAAATATCCGATTAAGAGGCAGAAGTACAGGGCAAAATTTCTCACTAAGAAATAGAATATCACAACTTGCTAGAAGTCTTCATTGTTATTTCTCTGCAGGATTTCTAAGATTAGGGTTTGTGGCAAGAGAAGGATAAAATAAGGAGTGGGAGGAATTTGGGAATGTCATCAGATCGTATTCCTTTTCTCCTGATTGAAGACTCCTAAACATCTGCAACAGACTTGGTTCTCCTTGGGCCTTGTAGAGAGCTGTCTGGCTTTCTGACATAATCTTTTCCAGTGCCCTTATCTAACACGTTCACACCCTGACCAGCTGTCCAGTCTGGCTGTGACATTTATAGCCTCTAGGTTAAATCATTTCTGAGGACTCAGCTAAATTTTTCCTCTTAATGAAGTTCTCCCTGAGCACCACCATTTATTCTAAACCAAATTAATATGTATCTCTTTGTAGCTGAGGAAGACTTTATTTTCCAAATGTCTTATTTAACAGGTAAGTAAACTGAGTCCATTTGCACCTAAGGTATTCACTTAATTTCTCATAGATGGCTAAACTGAGAGCCAGAAATTAAACACGAGGTTTCAGACACCTGAAGCACTTTCTACTACCTCAGTTACGATCTACTTTATCATTATTCTTTAGATTTTTATCTTCCTCACTATCCCTGTATCCTAAAGCATTTTTAGGTTTACTGGGCACCTCTTCTATGCTAGGTGCTATAAATGCATTTCTCCACTTAATCCTAGCACAACTGAAAGTAACATTTATCAGTCATACTCGTTAGAAAAACAGAAACCACTCTAGATACTTCAAACAGAAGAAACCGAATGTATGAAATCCAATACACTGGGTATGGGAGAGTTGAGAAGCCTAACAGGAATGGCAAGGCTACCCAGAATATAAGCTCTTAGCTCAGGGCTGGAGAGACCAGGGAGAAGGCATGTCACCATACCCATCTGTGAGGGAAGCTGCAGCGGTAGTCACCTTGTCCTGTGGGAGCTGGAACAGTGGAGGAAAGGCAGCTGCTGCCAGAGGGGCTGCATGGTGCCCACACAGGGAGAAATACTCTCACTTTTCCCTTTCTTCACCTTTTACTCTCCCACCAGTGCCTTCTGTGGGCCAAACCTAGGATAAGCCAATTAAGAAGGGAGCTTGCAGGTGTCAGACCCCACTGTGATTCAGAGCTGAGGAAGGGTTAAGACTGACTCTGAGGGCAAAGAGACAAATATCCTACACATAAAGTACCATCAGCCTCATTTATCAGTTCAAGGAACTTAGGCTGAAACATGACATACTTACGGAAGTTAGATATCTAACTTAAAAAACCTGATATAGTTCAGATGTGTTTCCCCCACCCCGCCCCTCAAATCTGATGTTGAATTGTAACCCCCAGTATAGGAATTGCGGCCTGGTGGAAGGTGACTGGATCATGGGAGTGCATTTCTCATGAATGGTTCAGCACCATGCCCTTGGTGCTGTCCTTGCAATAGTGAGTGACTTCACATGAGATCTGGCTGTTTACGTGTGGCACCTCTCTCTCTTGCTCCTGCTCTGGCCAAGTGACATGCCTGCTCCCCCTTCATTTTCCACCATGATTGTTAAGTTTCCTGAGGCCTCCCCAGAAGCCAAACAGATGCCAGCATCATGCTTCCTGTACAGGGTGCAGAGCTATGGGCCAATTAAATCTTTTTTTCTTTATAAATTACCCAGCCTTAGGTATTTCTTTATAGCAAGGTAAAAACAGACTAATGCAGGACCAATTCTACATTCCAACTTCAACACTGTGCAATGGATTCTGTTGCCCATAATCTCTCACTGCCCTCCAATCCAATCCAGTGCCTACAAATACTCTCTCACTGCTCTGTTTTGTCTTCCTCCTCACCCAGGAACACACAGCAGGTGCTTAATGTGTTACCAGTGAGCTGGATGAAATGCCAATCAAGCAGCCCTGGTTCTGTTCACAGGTGAAGGGCTCCCTATGTGAGTTTCCAGAGGCTGTTGATTTTAAGCTTAGAAAAACTCCTATTTATTACTCCATTTGTTGAAAAGGAAGATGGCATCATTGACTCCCAAAATCATGAATATTCATGGAGGATGACTTGAAGTCGGTCATAAGGGGCTTGTGTCTGAAATAATATGGGATACAGTTGTGTTTATGAGCAAAGCCTTTAGAATTAGACTGAGCTGGACACAAACTTTTGCTTTGAGAGTCACAAGCTGTGTGACCTTGGGGAAAGGGAATATACCTCTCTGAGCATTCATATCCCCATGGGTAAAATTAAAATAACAGGACCTATCACACAGGGTTGTTAGAAATAAATTAGATCAGTTATATAAAAAGAGATGGTATAGTGCCTAACACAATGTAAGTGCTTAATACATATTAGAAAAGATGAAATCAATAGATGTTCAGAAAAATATTCTCTAGGAAGAAATACAACTTTACACGGATAGACCAAGAAGTAAGGCTTCTCTCCAGTACTCCTGCAATAACTCATAATTAAGCAATAACTTGGCAATAACAAACCAGCAACCTTAGTCAGCAGCAAACTCTCGGGTCTTTACTAATACTATGGGGGCATTTAAATGTCTTTTGGTTCTTAATTGGCAACAAGTTAGTAACCCAAGAATGTAAAAATTCCATTTCTCCACATCCAGCTGATCAATATGCACTCAGCATGCGCCAGCTCTTCGCCTCTCACGGGAATAAAATAAATTGTCAGTCAGCAGCACAATTTTGTGGTGACGGTGGTGGTAATTTTTTTCTTTTGCTAAATTATTCACCTCCTCGAAAAACAATTTGATAAATGTTTATTTCTTCATAATACATTCCAACAACCGCTGATTTGTGATCCTTGATGTGGACTGAATTTAAATTGTGACGAGGTAAGGGCTTCATGAAAATACCTAGACAGAGCCACAGAAAAGCTCTGGTTTTTGTTTTTGTTGTTTTTACCCTGCTCTCTGAGAGCGCCCTGGCCTCCCACAGCATGAGGGCACTAATTGAATTTCAGAGATGTAATAAGTGAGAAGCACACGTAAGCACAACCTGCGGTGGGAATGCCAACAGCGCAGGTTTGGCAGGAGACTTGGCGGTACAGCACAAGGGAACAGCCCCACAGCCAAACCAGAAAGACCGGGACTCAGAGTTGTGCCAATGAGTGGTCTACACAAGAAGACAGGTGAGAGAGAGGCTGGGGGCAGGTGGAACTGTGAGTGCTCTCTGGCATTACAAAAGCTTTCTGACCAGGACGTTCTACCTAAAACATGATAGAACACACACAGGGCTATTTTCTTCTGTCTGCCCTTCTGAATAACACCTCATGACCACTACTATTTAGATGATCCCCAGCTTGAGAAAAAGTCAATGCTTCTTGCAGGTAATTGGGTAGGAAGGTGGTGCACCCAAGGGATCATTCTCCTTCTAGTCTTCTCTGTCATCTTCATGTCCTTGATGGCAAATGATTGGGTGTTTTCCAGTGTTTTCTCCAAACATGTAAGGGAATTTAAATTAAGAAGAACTGAAGCTCAGTATGCCAAGATCAGCAGGAAAGAGTGTTATTTTCCTTCACACAGGAAAACACAGAAGTTAGTGGATGCTGCTTGGCACTTGTCCTTACTGAGTAATCCCACCGATGGAAATTCCCTCTCAGTAAAGACCCGCCGCACAACCAGACTTCTGTCCTGCCTGCAGTGTGAAGCAAACTCAGATTTAGCTTGTTAAACTTTTAAACAATCACATGCACATCCCATTTTCTGACGTAGTAAGTTCTGGAAAAGGACTCATGCCAAATTTTTAAATGTCATTTCTTCTAAGCACTAAAACTTTTCTTAGCACCATATTTTACATACACAATTTTTAAAATGCTGCAGTCAAATTTATTCCTGAGCGAGGTAAGTTCCTGAACTTTTGTACTCATGGTGGCTGCTGTTTCAGCGGCTGCCCCTGAGCAGTTGATGGTTTGCCCTTTAGATAAGGGGTGTAAACTAAAACACCTACAGAAGTCAGAAAAATAAGTGAGTGAAGCCAGAAACATCCAGGAATGTTAGAGGCAATGATGGGAACTGTGGACAACTTGAGAACACGGGCCCCATGCACAGAACTGCTACCAAGCTCCAGAAAATTGCCTTTATGAGGAGTAAAATCGCAATATTGCCAGTTCTTCTAATTTTGCCAAAGAATTGCCAAGTTCTAATTTTTTAAGAGACGTTGGAAATCTGGATATTAAATAAAATCAATTGGCAACCAATTCAATCAAAATAAAATAAACATAGTGTGGCCAAACTTGTACAGTAGTTTGTGATTTCTAACCAGTATTATCCCCTTCCAAAATTTGTAATACATTGCATTAGGCTATATTGGGCTGCAGTAGGAAATTAAACCAAAAGGACAGTGGCTAAACACACAGAAGACTGTTTCTTGCTCACATAACAGTTCTTAGTAGTTCCAAATCAGTTGACAGAGGATGCAGGGGAGGTGAGGGAGGGCCTGCTGCCTACAGTTGAAGTAGGAAGCAGACTCTGGACATAGAGCTTAGACTCAGACCAGGTTGAAGACTAGCAAAAACAGGCAAGAAGCAAAAGCAACTCTCTGTAAGACATGCCCACTAGTGCCATGACAGTTTATCTATGGCAGCACCCAGAAGTCATTGCCCCTTTCCATGGCAATGGCCTAACGACCCAGAAATATACTTTTTCTAGAAATTTCTACATAATCCACCCTTTAATTTGCATATAATCAAAAGTGGGTATAAACATGACTGCAGAACTGTCCCTGAGCTGCTACTCTCCACACGCCACCTGAGGGTAGCCCTGCTCTGCAGACGCAGTCATGGAGCTGCCTCAACAAAACTGTTTTCTTCTACAACTGGCTTGCTTTCCAATTCTTTCCTGAGCGAAGCCAAGAACCTTCCCCAGCTAAGCCCCAATTTGGGTCTCACCTGCCCTGCATTTCAGTCATTCAGGAAAGCAGGGTAAGAAGCTCTGCTATTTCCAGTATATAACTTTCAAGGGAACCAGGGGGTCACCTCTGTCCCAGTCACATATTACCTCCTCTCTATTATTCCTTCCTTGTGGAGGCAAAGGTGCTGGAGGGGAAAGAAGGAAGTAAAAGACAAAATGTGCCTTTCTCCTAACACAACCTTTTCTGTTCAGAATCTGGAGGTATCACTCTAGGGCAATCTAGAGAGAAGCGGGTATCTTGTATCGGTGCTCTTTTTCTGTTTTTTGAAAGTGATAGATTATAGATTTTATGACAGTCCAAAGTTTGCAAGGGATACATGCATCATTCTCTACTTTGAGATGGAAAAAAAAAAAACCCGAAGTTATCAGTGATTGCCAATAATGGGCATGATTTCACGACCATCACAGAACATTAGAGTTGAAAGCATACTTAAAGACACAGCGCAGCCTCCTCAATGTACAGAGGAATGCTTCTCAATGGTTTCGCAACTCATTTGAGGCAGATGTACAATAAGAAAAATCCCAAACCATGGTTTTCTCCACCACTTTATGTACATGGTCTGAGTTGCAGTGTAAAACGGTTTTTCCACGTAGCTTAAAGGAGTACTATTGTACGATGGTCCATTTTTAAATGTAGATTTCAAAAGACAATAATAGCATCATAAAAGGGCAAGAGGAATATAGTAGACATCTGTCATTTTTTGCCTTCCCAATACATATTCTGTCTTCTTCTGCCAACAGCACCCTAATTTCCTTTGAGGAACAAGCTGTCTGTCCCCATGTTAAATGTTGTTTGACCTCATACCTTCCTCTAGTCCCAGGAACAGGCAGACGCCCCAAACCTGGCCAATCAGAGCATCTCTGCTGTAGCCAGAGTATCTGATTCAGGGATAAACACATGTTCCAAAAAGGCATACAGACTACATTCAGGGACTTTTATTTGATTCCTTGGACAGAGGAAAAATGTTTCTGCTAGACTCGAATAAAAAAGGGATAAGCAAGGAGCTGTTCAGCCTACAGAGTAGACAACTCCATTTACTCGTGAAGCTGAAACAGATGAGAACAGTTACCTGATGGAAGGAAAGTCCTCCATCCCCTGGCATTATTTGAACCTCTGGATCTATCTGCTTGCATTGTCAATCCTAGTTGTTGCTGTTGTTGTTTTAAGTCAATTTGAGGTGGGTGATTTAAAAAAAAAATAAGTCCTGCTAACAGAAAAGGTATTACAGAGAAATCAGCAACTATATTCAAGGATGAAAAGTCAAAATTGACAACTTATTCACTGTTTGTGAGGGAAGCTCCAGAGTCTTTAGAGGGGAGACACGTAGATATAAATGGAAAATAATAGCTACAGTAATAAGTACTCCATAAATGTGAGCCCTGTCAGGTGCTGCTCTAAAACCTTTACTTGTATTAATTCACAGAAATTTCACAATCCTATGAAGAAGGCATTATTGTTATCCCCATTTTACAGATATAAGAATTCACAAAATTAGCAAGTGTTAGAGCCAGGAATAAATGCCTCATTCTATAAACTTCAAAGATGTAGTTCTCATTCCTACTGTCGTAATATCTTGAGAGATATTTCTTCACAAATAACATTGGTCCAAAAAATTGGTAAGAGTATCCATTATAAAATGTTACACAGAAAAGGACTGGTTTTTCCACTTATTTGAATAATAATAATACTCTTCCTCATTGAGGACTTTACCTAGTCTGAAGATACGAAAACTAAAGTCAAGGCCAACGTTAGCCTGTGTGGCTCCCCTGGGCAAATGCAGCCTTGTTTCAGGCTGGTTTCTCTTAGCCTAGTGCTTTTGTGCAGTGCACCAACTGCACAACCAGACACAGCAACCCTGACTAAAGACCAAGTTGATTTAATAAATTGCTCAAAACCAGAGGCCTTAAAAGTAACAGAACCGGAACCAGAACCAAGGTCTCCAAATGTCCATGACAGCATAAAAAACAATCCAGTCTTCGCCTGGGTCCCCCTCTTTATGCTAGTGCTCCTCATGCATGCTCAGTGCTACAAATATCTACATCATGTTTTTATCGCCAGCCAACCACAAAGAATAAAGGCTGCAAGTGGTGATGGATAGACCAAAGCTTTGCTGTCAGGTGTTCATTCCACTTGTTTCTCTTGTCCTGTGCATAGGTTTGAGCACATTGATTAAATTTTTATGCATTAGTCTGCCCATTTGTAAAGTGGGGATAAATATCTACTCCCCTGGGTTTTGGCATAGTGACTGGCCCCATAGCAAGCACAAACAAATGGCAGGTCTTTCTTTCCCACCTCTGCCTGCCCCCCAGGCTCTCTGCTCATCCAGACTTTCTGAACGGGGTACACATTTTAGGAGCAGCCAGCAGTGAGGTCTCCGGGACTTCCCGTTCTGATTAATGAAGAATCTACAATGCTCAGTGAACTGGGGCTGGAGTGTTTTGATATAGCAAAGGCAGTCCTCCCTTCCCTCATTTATATTTTAGAAGGCCCAGATCAGACACTCCATACCTAGTTTGCTCCCATAGGACAGGGTTGACCTAGAACTATAAAATGCGACTACCATGATAAGTTTGCTAGAGGTATGATGACCATGATTAGTGAGAGAAGGGAAAAAGGACTTTTCAGCTGACATTAAAGGGCAACTGGAAGAGAAAACAGAACAACCAAAATTATGTTTAAAACATCCACATAAAGTAACAGAGACATTTATGAATCTGGTTAGATGCTATTAGTTTGTATTTAAGTCAAAAAAAAAAAAAGAGAGATAGAAAGAGAAAAGAAAAACTAAACTTCTCAAAACCCAGTGTGGCAAATAGCACTCACTGCTTTTTCTCTAACAAAAAAAGATGAAAGCAAAATGTGACTCTTTTTTTTCAGAAAAAAACAAAAAGGATTCACTATTTTTCTTTTTAGCACTTACTATATGCTTTCCATGTGATGCATATAACACAAACATGTCCCTGTTCCTTGTGAGACTTATGCTTAGATGCGGAAAGAAGACATATGAGAAGGGAAGGTGAGTAACTACATGAGATAGAATATTTTTAGTCATCTGACACTTCATAAACTCAATAGTTACAGAAGTTAAAGGGTGGAGAATCAATTCAAAACTCTTCTCCTCTCTTCCCTTCATATCCATATCCAATCATTCACCAAATCCCATCTTCTCTCCCTCCTCCCTCTCTCTCCACAACTTATTCCTACCATCACCACTGCTCCTCCCTTGTTCTGGTCACCAGCATCTCTAGCCTTGACCATTTCAGCAGCCTTTGCAGACTCCAGTCTTTCTGCTCCCATACTGAACTTTGATTAGTGTTTTTAAAATGCAAACTTAATTAAATCACCTTCACTGCTTAAACCACTTTGAGGATACCCCACAGATGTCAGAAAAAATCAAAATTACATTAAATGATACAAGAGTTCTTCATTCTCTGCCTGTCTCTGCAGCTTTATCTCCCAACATTCTTCTTCATATTCAAGGCCAGACTGAATACCAAGGTCTCCCATCTCTGGCCTTTGGCAAGCTGTCTTCTCACTGCCCAGAATGACCTTACCCTCACTCATTTTCTTATGTCTGGATTATTACTGTTTATTCTTTTTAATTTAGTTTTAGATGTCATCTCCTCTGGGAAGGACTCTCTGACCCTTCATAAGACAGACAGAGAGATAGATCCCACACATATACTTAACAGCTATTCCACCTGGATACTCCTCCAGCATCTTGTATTTACCCTAATCTAGATACCACATTGGAATTTCTGTTTGCATCTCTGACTCTCCGCTAGACTCAAAGTTCACTGATACCTGCAGTTCCTGCATTGTAGTAGATTTCCAGTGCCTCGCAAAGATTCTAGCAGACATTAAGTACTCAGAAAATGCATATTAAATGACTGAGTAGGTTGGAGTTTCCGGAAGAGAAGTTAGGAAAGAGATGGAGTTCCAAATCAGATTTAGAGGAGTGTAAACAGGTAAAATGGAATGGAGGGAGACTTTCCAATAATTTTTGATAAACAATGGAGCTTACTAAAATGCAAATATCCTTGTGGTTAACACTCAAAGATATTGTTTATCACTGAGTTTGTTCCAATTTAAAGCCAGGCACTACGTAAATAAGAGAGAATGTCAGAGGGAATAAACTTTTGGGGGTGAAAGAAAACAAAACTCATTATTTCTAAATGAAACCCCTCCATTTTAGCCCGTTTATTCTTCCAATCGGCAAAATTTTTCAAACTTCAGTTAGGAAAAGAGACCTTAGATAAATGTTTTAAAATATTTGTTTCCAAAACATTAAGTGCTATGTTGTGATTGAAATAAAATATATACCTTGTAGGAGAAAGCAGTATTTAGTGGTTCTCACTATAATGGGAAACCCAAATGTCTTTATCTGACTCTTCATATCTCTCCATCCTGGCTTCTTAAAAAATCTCTTTATTCTTCTTCTTTTTGCTACCATTTCTAGTCCCATAAAATAAGAAATATTCCCAGGTAAACCTTAGTTGTATTCTTATATCTCTCCCTTTTTACATCTCGTAACTTTTTCTGGAATACCTTTCTCTTTCCAGAGCTGATAAACTCACTCATTAATGCTCAATTCAAGTTCTTACCTCCTCTGTGAAGTCATTTCTATCCCCTCCAAAAGTGACCCAATTCTCTCATTTCCATTCTTTCATAGTGGTCTATCTTTATTTAAATACTTTCCAAAGAGCACTAGTTTCATGGAATGTCAATAGGTCATACAGGGAACTACAGTTTTCATTTTCTATAAATTGTGAAATATTTGGCTAAAGATGTAGCATTTCTGCATATTTTAATATGCTAATATGCACTATGAAACTTAAGGGATTATGGTTTGATGCATTTTTCCCAATTTTATACAATCATAAAATTTTTGTAACCAGGAATCCCTTTCTTCACCAAATAACTTGTGTTCTTCCAAATATTTTGGGAAATGTGACTTATTATGTGGTTATCTACATGTCCCAGAGAGTCTTCCTGGAAATAGGATTCATTTCTTATTGCTCTTTGCAACCTCAATAATCAGCACATAGTAGGTTGTTAATAAATATCTCTATGAATTAATTTATAGAAAGAGGAGAAGGTACTGAAAAAAGGGTAATAGGGATGGCCAGCCCCATGTATCTCGTACGACGGAAAAAGGAAATACTCACCTAAACACATTTCCCTACCTGTGCAGTCCAACATAACATGACTTAATTACAAGTCATAGAAATCCAACTCAGCCTAAACTTTACTAAACAGAAATGTCTTGGTAATGTGGTGGAATACTGGAGTAGGTTACAGATTTGATGGGGAGGTTGCAAAAATCTAGGACCTAGAGGAGAAGAATGAGTGACTTCATGCTGTTGGGACACAAATGCTCTCCCCACAACCATCTTTCATCATTGCAACACTGTTTCTCCTTGCACTTATGCGTCATGTCCTCTAATTGAAATCGGTTAGTCAGAATGACAGGAAACATAGGGACCTTAGCCAAAACAAATACTCTTATCAGAAAGTGCAAGCCTCATTCTCTCAATGTCTATAAGCTGACATCACTTAAGGGGTCGATTGGTCTTTGTGTAGGTCATGAGCCCAGACTTTTCTATTTCTATTGCTAGAGAGATGGATAACAGAACCAAGGCCTTACCCCAACTCTGGCCATTCCTGTATTCAGGGTCCTTAGTGCATTATCAAGAAAGGGGAGATGAAAAAGTTTGCTGAGATGACCAAGAAAGAGCTACCACTATCCACTCTAGGTGATTAAACATGGCTGTTAATGGAAAGGCTGTCCACACATTTTGCTCTCGGTAACAGGAAAATAACCCTTCCTTCTCGTTGTGGAGAGAATGATATCTTGATTTCTGTTTTGGCATCAAGCATCTCTCTCCCAATGTGAAGGAAGACCCTTCCAAAAAGCAAAGCAAAACGACATAGGGAATATATACTTAGCTTATTGAACTGGAAAGCTACTGAGTTTGTCCTTAAATGCAACTATATGAACCCTTTTAAAACCCTTGGGAGCAAGGTAATAAGAGAAACCCCTGTCTGATAGGTTAACCATGACAAGTTGGGTCTTTATTTCCTGTGTTGTTGTCGTTTTCCTGGTTAGAGAAAGCACAATTTGACCCCCAGACTACCCATAAAATCTGGTTAAAAATAAGGTGAGTTGTACACAAGGCTGTTATAATCTATAAAAATCCAACATTATTTAATATTTATCTTTTCCACCATACTGGGAAAAAACATTTGGAAGAGCCATTTATATTTTACTTTACTAGACTGCTTACCTAGAATTTCCCAGTCATCAATAAAGCAGAGTTTAATTTTTGAGAGACATAAAGAAAAATGAAGAATTAAAATTGTAATTGGAAAAATTGCCTCAATCAAAATCGCACTTCAAGATGCTTGAATGGATGGGCTAAATAAGTTCAGGCATCCATTAGTTTCTAAATTGAATTAAAATATATTGAGTGCTAATTCAAAAATCTAAAGGCAGCCAGCTGGAATAGAATGGGAGTCATCTGGATCTAAAAGGGGAGTGCAGACAACACAAAGCAAGGAAAGATGATGGCATTTTTGCTGACCTGAAACAACAAAAAGGAAATCTTAAAAACTACTGGTAATTTATTACAGGCCATTATACTAATACTGCTGTTTGCCGCAAGCCTGCATGATGGGGGGTCCATTTTGATTCCACACATCACAACAGCACCGTTCTAACCCTCCTCTCTGCTCCTCCCATATGAAGCCCTTTTTCTCTGCCATTTGCTGTGTGCAGCATGGATGACCTATGGTAATTGCTGAATACATTTTCACCCATATTTTTTAGCAAATGTAATTTCCTTTTGATGCTGCCGCGTTGTCCCCCCACCCTGCTGGGACAGTGAACTCCAATAATCATGCCACTAACATTCAGATAGAGATCAAGTGATGCAGCCAGCTGTATCACAACTTTTGACTTTCAACTTTGTACTTACTTGGGTGCACATATTACCATTTGAGGAAATGAAAAACATTTTTTTCTCTAATGAAAATAGCTTTTGGCCTTAGGTGAAGCTGGTAGAATTGTCCTGAGTTAAAAAAATATATATATATATATCTTTTATATAATTTGGCTCTAACAAAAGTCCTTTTTAAAAAAAAGTGAATGCTTTTTTCTAATACATTTTCAAAGGACCCCATGATTAAATTACTAATTAGTATGGTTTTGAAGAAATGGTCCTATTTTTAAGACTGCCCTCCAAATATTCCAAGTCTTTAAAATAATTTTTTGAAGGAAAGAAGAGGAGGCAGAGAAAAGAGGGGAAAAAGGTTGAATAACAAATTATTTCAAAATTTAGTGGCATAAAACAACCAATCGTTATGTTCATGGATTCTGTGGCTCAGAAATCTGAACAGGGCACAGCAGGAATGGCTTGTCCCTGCTCCCTGCTGTCTGGAACCTCTGCTGGAAGACTTGAGAGCTGAAGTCTGGAAGCATCAGAAGGCTCACTCATTCAGATGTCTGGCAGTCAATGCTGGCTTTGTACCAGACACCTTAGCTGAGGCTAGTGTCAGCTGGAATACATAGGCATGGACTCTCAGCTGGACCTGGGTTTTCTCACACCCTGGCAGCTTGGGACCAATATACAATCCCCCAAAAGATCGGGTGCAACATGCCATGTCTTAGTATCACTTGCCAAGAACACCCAGTGAATTGATGAACTAACATTTCATTGGAGCCAGCCAGGAAATAGTATGTCATTTGAACCAAGGTCACTGTCCACTTGATGTCATCACGGAAGAAGGAAGGAAAGCTGCCCAAGAAGAGAAAAATAAGCCTGGCAAGTTGCCAAATTTTGAATTGAATATTTATCCAAAGAAGATTGTTTTTATACCTGAAGAGTTTGAATTAACTTTGAACTTAAAGTTTAAATACTTTCTGTTGCCTGCTTAAATGAGAATCCAAGAACAAGATGAAGTCAGTTATAAAAATCATAGACAGCCACTTGACTTTTATGTCTGAGTTGTAGAAAACACATCTTTGGTCCTAGTAAACAAGGAATCTGTGCAAGTTTTCAATACGTTAAGAACAAGCTTTTCTTTGGAGCATAAGCTCCTTGAGGTGATGAACTCTTGACATCTACTTAATCAATTTGTATTGAATGTCTACCATGAGCAAGGCATTTCTGGTAGGCATTAAAAATACAGAAATGAATGACACAGTTCCTGTCCTCAAGGAGCTCTGCAGCTGCACTATAGGAAGAAAGCAAACAATCATTTTAACATGGGCACTCCAAAGGTTCACTTAAAAGGTAGAGACCCCTCTGCATGGTCTTAAGACCTCAGGAGAGAAGATAGGCATTACCAAAGTTGTCAAAAACTAGAAAAATGTGCCAAATCCACAGATGTTTCATTATCTATTTAGCTTAGTTGGTTAGTGAAGACTAACAATAAGGTCAGGGTAGCATGTTCATTTCCTTTGTGGCCCAGTTAGCTCGGTACATAAGCACATTACGTTCTGTGTAGGGAAAAAAAATCTCAAACCACATTTTTCCCCTACTGTCACACCACCACAGCAACAATCATCAACACAGAAGACTTTGACCAAATGTGTGAGCCTTTTTCTCCCACACACCAAGCAGCAGACACCAGCTGGATGTCCTCGAATTTAATTCCGACACCATCTACCTGGAAAAAGTGTCAGATTCCACAGACTGGGGGCTTCGTGGTGAGACTGCCTCTCACACCCCCAGACACCAGTTACAAGTCCAGGCCTCCAGAACTTATGACCAACTGCTTCAAGTTGAGGTTACCACACCTCCCTCTTTGGGTGGGGTTAATTTGCTGGAGTGGCTCATAGAACTCAGAGAAACACTTATGTTTACTGATTTAAGAATATTACAAAGGATACAGATGAAGAGATGTATAGGGTGAAGTATGGGGAAAGGGCTGGAAGCTTCCATGTCTTCCCTGGGTGTACCACCCTCCAGGAACCGCCACGTGTTCAGCTACCCAGAAGCTCCCCAAACCTGGTCCTCTTGAGTTTTTATGGAGACTTCCTGATGTCAGCATTCCTTCCTCCTTCCCACAGGTGGGACCCTCTCTGGAAGAGTCTTAAAACCTGCAATCAGAGAGGTGGAGGGAAGATGGGAGTCTTGTCTTGGGGCAAGTGAAAGGACAGGAGTGAGATTTTTGTTCCCTGAGGCCTAAACCACGTAACATTAAAACAAGAACCATGTAAATTTAATAGAGCCATGGACAAAAACATCTATAAGCCAGGCGCGTTGGCTCACGCCTGTAATCCCAACACTTTGGGAAGCCGAGGCGGGCGGATCACGAGGTCAGGAGATCAAGACCATCCTGGCCAACATGGTGAAATCCCATCTCTACTAAAAATACAAAAATTAGCCATGCTTGCTGGCTTGCTCCTGTAGTCCCAGCTACTCGGGAGGCTGAGGCAGGAGAATTGTTTGAACCTGGGAGGTGGAGGCTGCAGTGAGCCAAGATCATGCTACTGCACTCCAGCCTGGGCAACAGAGCGAAAGAAGAAAAAAAAATATGATATATATATATAACACCACAGCCCAGAGCTGTCATTACATTCCTGTTTCTCATCAGTATTATATTGAAAATTCATAATTAGAAGTATGACTGATACCTGAGTCTAAATGATTGGGAGGCATTGTAAGAAATTACCTTAATGTTTACCAGCTTCTGACCGTGGTTCTGTTCTACCAGGTCACCATGAAGCCAGGGAGATGTGAGAGATGTTAATTGTGAACCATTCTGGAGTCCTGGACATACCGTATTTCACCCAAACTAAGACATCATCAGTTATAAGATGCCCCATTATTTTCTTTACCACTAAGAAAGACAAATGAGGTCAAACTATGGCCCTATGCCAAGGCATTCTCAGCTACAGCTCATATCCCAAATTTAGAGACATAAAAATGAAAAAAGATTTCATCTTTTATCATTTTATCTCAGAATCAGTGAGATATGGCACCATATGAGAAACCCTGACGGATCTCCAGGGAGAAAAGACAATGAGGCAAATTCTGCTGACAACTTGGGAATAAAAATTCTTAAATAAGTGGAAATGGTCCTTAATAGGTTTAAGATACAAACTTTTGGCCATGGCCTACAGAGTCCTGTACAGAGTTCTGTACAGTCTCTTTGTGGCTACCACTCCAGACTCTTCTGGGCCACCATGCCCTCCTCTCACTCAATCCAGCCTCCCTGGCCTCCTAGGCTGTGGTGTGAATACAGTACGCTCATTCCTGTTCTTTGTTTCCTTCCTGAAACTCTCTTTACCTAGGGCTTTCATATGGAGTGATCCTTCATTTCATACAAGTTTATTGTGGTCAAATATCACCTCCTCTGATCATCCTATCTATTTCCCCTACTATTTTAAGTACCTCATTAGGGCTGGAAAAATTTTTTTCTCAATATGAAAAGAATGCTTGGCATATAATAGACATGAGATAAATATATGTGAATAAATCACAGTCATCCAAAAGTAGAAAAGGACTGGAGGTATTTAATTTAATCCAATCTCAAAACTGATTAGGTTAAATGGAGAAGGAATTTTTAAAGATGAAATTGGATGATGCTATTTGAGGTACTCTCCAACAGAGCCCCTAGAAGAATCATTCTTGACTTTTTCAAGGTTAGGGATAATTAAAAAATTAGAAAAGAAAATAAAAAGTTGCAACATAAAGGGTACCCATTGAGGAGGCTAATTAAAAATTATTAATACTTGTGAACAGAACATTCCTCTTATCCCCACTTCAGGGGACTCAACATCATTGGCTTTAGGAATAACCAAGTCACCATAGATAAAGACAGGAGAGATGACAACAAAGGGATAAATTTAGTTTCAGAGGAATGACAAGAATCATTTGAAGTTTAGGAAAAGAAACAAATAAGGCAACAAGCAGCCCCTGAAAGGTGCCAGGACCATCCGGCATGAAGACAGCAATCATTTCCCAAATGCTTACAGGTACCAGGTGCTGCAGGTGTTGCAGAATGGGTCAAGTGGGCTCAATGCAATCATTTCCCACTTCCATTAACTTTCCCTACCTCACCCATATGGCTTAAGCAAATTAAGCAGCTTCTAAACCGGACACAAAAGAGAGGAAATCTCATTTATTTGGTGCATCAAAAAATAAAACATAGTAATATCACCAATCTCCAGGTCTACTTCACCTTCATATTCTTCCATTGTCAGTTTCAATAATTGGGCATGTCATGCTTTGGGATGGATGTAGCTTGCCTTTGATCTGATGTTATGATTTTTCTAGAAACATCTTCCCCATCCTGGGAGGAGTTAAAGGACTTGAGTAGGGTCTTGAAGTTTTGTCTTGATGTAGTGGAGGTGTAACTGGCAAAAGGGTCTGGCTGCTGGCTGCTTGTAGAAAGAAGTTAAAATCTAGTGAGTTGTGATTTTAAAAAGAGCGAGATTTCTTCATTATTGGTGCTAGCAAAGGGAAGAGTAGAAAGCAGTTCCACTCTTCAGTTTGTGGAGGGAGTGTAGGGGTTTTTAAAGAAAGGGTTTGGGTTTGGAATGCAGAAGAGGCAAGGGGGAATAGGCACCAGGTGGCATGACTTGCTCCAATGGCTTATACTGAATTATTGTTCCATTTGGTGAAGGGGAGGATGTCATCATGGATCCTACCAGGTTATAAATTAATTGCAGTCAATCTTGTAGTCACTGTTTAGCTAGGAGTGGGTTCCAGCCTTGAAGTAATCTTTTGTTAGAAAGAAGTGGCTGGTCCCTATCAGGATCCAACCCCTGAAGCTTCTAAGGAAATATATGACCAGATAAGTGAGCATGGTGTGTGCGTAACAAGTATCTAGGTAAATAAATGTGCATAAGGCATGGGAGTACAGAATGGGAAAAAAAAGGGAGTGGAGCTTCACAGCACATTCTGAGGCTGCATTTCAAGATGAAAGATAACACACATGCAGTTTATCTCAAAGTTATAGCTAGAGACTGGGCAGTGGGGAGGAGAAGAGGGGAAAGAAAAAAAAGAGTTTTAAAATGTAGTTCGAGGCTAAGCCACTAAGCTACTCAGTTACAGATTTAATAAAACTTTTACATCTCCAGACTCCAAACTAGAGCTCAGAGTTTAAAGGGTTTTGTTCCAACTTCTGTCCACCTGAGCAGAACCAGCTTCTCCTTGGCGCATCTCCTCTAAGGATAACATGCCAGAAAGAAGGGTAGGAAAGATTTTTCAAGGGGTTATTTTATCCTAAGACCTAAGAGAAAAAATAGAAGCTGATATAATTGGGTCAACTACTTTATCTTCTTTAGAGAATCAGCAAACAAAGTTAATATGTGATAGCATTACTCTGGCAGTGTTCAGTAGGCTGCCACAAAAATCTTTTTTAATTCATTGGCATACCTGCCAAGTCACCATTAAAAGTACTGGACCTCTAAGATTAGGAACAAGACAAGGATGCCCACACACACTACTTGTATTTAACATAGTACTGGAAGTTCCTAGCCAGAGCAATTAGACAAAAGAAAGAGATTAAAGACATCCAAATTGGAAAGAAAGATGTTAAATTGTCCCTGTTTGCAGACAACATGATCTTCTATATAGAAAACCACAAATACTCTATCAAAACACCTGTAAGAACAAATAAAATAAGTCAACAAAGTTTCAGGATATAAAATTAATATACAAAAACCAGAGGCATTTCTATACACTAGTAATAAGCAATCCAAAAAAATAAATCAAGAAAACAACCTCATTTACAACAGTGACAAAAAAAAAAATGCTTAGGAACAAATTTAACCAAGGAGGTGAAAGACCTGTACACTGAAAACTGTACACTAAAACCTGGTGGAATAAATCAAAGGAAACACAGATAAATGGAAAGATTTTTCATGGTCATGGTTTGAAAGAATTATATTGTTAAAATGTCACTGTTACCCAAAGTGATCTACAGATTCAAAGCAATCCCTATCAAAATTCCAATGACATTCTTCACAGAAATAGAAAAAACAATTCTAAAATTTGTATGAAACTATAAAAAACCCAAATAGTCAAAGCAATCTTGAGCAAAAAGAACAAAACTATAGGTATCACACTACCTGAGTTCAAAATATACTACACGTCTATAATGATCAAGACAGCATGGTATTGGCATAAAAAAGATACACTGATCAATGGAACAGAGAGCTCAGAAACAAATCCACACATTTAGGACCAGTTGGTTTTTGACAAAAGTGCCAAGGACACATACACTGGACCTTTGGGAAAGGACAGTATCTTTAATAAATGATCTTGGAACAACTGAAAACCCCCATGTAGAAAAATGAAATATATACTTATCTCACACCATATACAAAAATCAACTCAATGTGTATTAAAGACTTAAATGTAATAACTGAAACTGTAAAACAACTAAAAAAAAAACATAGAAGAAAAGCTCCATGACACTGATCTGGACAAATACTTTTTTGGATATGAACCTCAAAGCACAAACAAAAAAATAAACAAGTGGGGTTACATCAAATTAAAATGCCTCTACACAGCCAAGGAAACAAGCAACAGAGTAAGGAGACAACCTAAAGAATGGGAGAAAATATTTGCAAACAAGGTATCTCATAAAGGGTTAATACCGAAAATACATAAAAACCCATGCAACTCCATAATAAGAAAACAAATAATCCAGCTAAAAAATGAACAGAGGGCCTGAATAGATATTTCTCAAAAAAAAGACATGTAAATGATGTCAACATCACTAATCACCAAAGAAATGCAAATTAAAACTACAATGAAATATGATGAAACACCTGATAGAATGGCTATTATCAAAAAGACAAAAGACAACAAGTGTTAGGATGTGGAGAAAAGGAGAACGAGATGTATACTGTTAGTAGAAATATAAATTAGTGTAGCCATTGTGGAAAACAGTATGGTGGTTCCTCAAAAAACTAAAAATAGAAACACTATATGATCCAGCTATCCCACTACTGGGTAGATATCCAAAGGAAATGAAATTAGTATTTTGAAGCGATATCTGCACTCCCCTGTTTATTAAAGCATTATTCACAATAGGCACTTACCCAGATGTGGTTGATACATTTCCTTTATCCGTTCATCCACTGACAGCCAAGATATGGAATTAACCATATCTTGGTTAATTCAATTTGCATAACCATATCTACGGTTAATTCCAAGATATGGAATTAACCATATCTTGGCTGTCAGTGGATGAATGGATAAAGGAAATGTATCGTATACACACAATGGAATACTACTCAGACTTTAAAAAGAAGAAAATTCTGTCATTTGCAACAATATAGATGTACCTAGAGGACATTATGTTAAGTGAAATAATCCAGGCACAGAAAGACAAATACCATATGATTGATCTTACATATGGAATCTTAAAAAGTTAAACTAATAGAAGTGGAGAGTAGAAAGTGATTACCAAAGGCTGAGATGGGGGCTAGGGGATAGGTAGGTGAAATGTTAGTCAAATGAAAGAAAATTTTAGTAAGATGGAAGAAATAAATTCAACAGATCTATCATACAACATTCTGACTATAGTTAATAGCAATATATTTACTTTAAATCTGAAAATTGCTATAAGAGTAGATTTTGTGTTCCCACCACAAAAAAAAAGTGATAAGTATGTGAGGTAACACAAATGCTAATTAGCTTGGCTGCAATTAGCCATTCTGCAATGTTTACATACTTCAAAACATGTTGTATACAATAAATATATGCAACTTTTGTCAATTTAATAGTAAACAAAAATGTTTAAAAATATTTAAAAGCCCTGGGCCTAAAGTATGACTAATTCATTTCCTTATATCAGGAGAAAAAATTAAACTCTAAAAGATTAAAGTTCTCATAGCACAGAGCATGAGGCCAGTGGGAAATAAAACAGTTTGGCTCTGGGTGAGGCACAGTTTGCATGGAGTTGGGAGGTGCACCTTTCAATTGCCTGGCTTACCTACACCTCAGAACCCTATTTCTTCCTGAAGGAGAAAGGGAACTAATACTTTGCAGGTGGGTCTCTCATAATCACTTAATTATGATTATTCAGACACAAAAGGAAACTCAGGAATTAGCAACCACAGTAATCAGCATTCTTACCGTTTGGAAGAGGAGGACATGTAGTATATAGTGCAGGTAGCACATAGCAAAGTGCAAACTGAACAGATCTGTGTGATCTTAGCCCTGAGCTATCATTTCAAGGGAAGACACATCAAGAAGAACTAAGGCCAAGGGCAAGAAACAAAGAAGCTGGGATCAGCAGCTTGTGACATCAGAGAACTCATGTAACATCTCAGAGCTCCACTGTAGCAAGGGGCGAAGCAAGAGGTGAAGCCAGCTGGGCTTCTGGGTCGGGTGGGGACTTGGAGAACTTTTCTGTCTAGCTAGAGGATTGTAAACACACCAATCAGCGCTCTGTGTCTAGCTAAAAGTTTGTAAACCCATCAATCAGTACTCTGTAAAAACGCACCAATCAGCGCTCAGTGTCTAGCTAAAGGTTTGTAAATGCACCAATCAGCACTCTGTAAAAACTCGCCAATCAGCGCTCTGTGTCTAGCTAAAGGTTTGTAAATGCATGAATCAGCACTCTGTAAAAACGGGCCAATCGGCACTCTGTAAAATGGACCAATCAGCACTCTGTAAAATGGACCAATCAGCAGGATGTGGGCGGGGCCAAATAAGGGAATAAAAGCTGGTCACCCAGCCGGCAGGGCAACCCACTCAGGTCCCCTTCCACACTGTGGAAGCTTTATTCTTTCGCTCTTTGCAATAAATCTTGCTGCTGTTCACTCTTTGGGTCCACACTACCTTTATGAGCTGTAACACTCACTGCAAAGGTCTGCAGCTTCACTCCTGAAACCAGCGAGATCACAAACCCACTGGGAGAAACAAACAACTCTGGATGCGCCACCTTTAAGAGGTGTAACACTCACCGCGAGGTCTACAGCTTCACTCCTGAAGTCAGCAAGACCATGAATCCACCAGAAGGAATAAACTCGGGACACATCTGAATATCTGAAGGAACAAACTCTGGACACGCCATCTTTAAGAACTGTAACACTCAACGCAAGGGTCCGCAGCTTCATTCTTGAAGTCAGAGCGACCAAGAACCCACTGGAAAGAACCAATTCCAGACACAGAAGGACCTTAGAAGGAGGGATTTCAGTGACTTGACCAAATCAGATTTTAACATTTCAACCAATTATAAATCTACGATTGTGAACTCGCATGTTTGCCTAAGAGCCTCTGGATATGTCTTAGGGAAGGAATAGGAATGAATTTTAACAACTACCTACCAAATTTATTTTTTAATTGTTGAAGAGCAATGTTACCATCAAAAATTGACATTATACACACAGAAAAATCAGAAGGACTACCCACCAAAAAATAAAGATTAACTTTTTTGCAGGGGGAGGAGAAAGATTATTATTACGGTTATCTTTCACTCTCCATATTATATATTTCTATGTTTGAAGTTTTCACACTGAGCATATCCTCTATATTTGGGAAGAAACAAGGTGAGTTTTTTATCTTTGTAAGAAAAGAAAGATCAACAAAAATATTCAGAATATAAATTTATTTAAAAATAAATGATTTAAAAGATTAAAAACAGAAGTGAAGACATTAAAGCCAAGGAAAAAGAAGTGGTATTTTAATTACTGGTATTCTCTTGTCTTTTGCTTTCAAAAAAATACATAAGGTGCAATGTGAAGGACATAAGAGGAAAGTGGCCACTTTCTTATTACTCGGAGGAGGAGGATTCAGAAAGAACAAAGGAGCTCATTGACAAGTGTGACTGTAGTGATGTTATTAGAATGAAAAAAAAGGGATTCATAAACATTTGTTTTTATCTGTCGCACTTCCTTCTTCATGGAGACACAATGAATTTGCAAGCCAGCTACTAAAGAAGAGTGGCCAGGTAAAATAGAGACAGGGAACAGGAGCAGTTATTCCCCCTAGGAACTTAGTCAATTAAATGCAGCCTGGAAGGGATCTAATCTAATATCAAAGATGCTGTCAGGGGATCAGTTCCCCAGAGTTTAGGGTTAATGATATAGAGCATGGTAGTCTGGCCAAGAGCAAAGAAAAAGAAACCTTACCGAGATCAGGTGTAACTGGAAAAGACCAGAATAAAATAAAGTAAGCATTTCCCAGAGCAATGTAGGACCTTGGGCAGAACCTTCTGCAGACGTGTCACAATATTCTCTCCTTACAGCAGTCCTCAAGGGGTGGGGTCCTCCAACATTTAGCAAGTTTTACTATAAATTAAAATTATAATCAGCACTGAAGACTAGCTTCCTCCAATATAATTCATAAGTCCTGGGGTTTTAATCTAGTAAACCCCAGAATAAGTCCCTCCCTCAACCAGGATGGATCTAGATGAATCATATTAATCTTGAAGTTTTTGTACAAAAGAGCTCTGAGATGATTATCATTGGTAAAGTTTTACCTAGAAATCTAGGTGTGAGTTAATTGCCTATCAGGCAATTGTCCACTTTTGTGAAACACAGTGACCAACACAAATGAAGCCAAGGTGAAATGCTAAATGCTAAGCTTTTGATAGCTGCAATCTACAGAGCCCCCTTTCTAAGGGGCTGTGGATTTATAGAAATAATCTTTTACTATTTCACAGGTGAAGTAAGATGAAGTGAGAAAGAAATAGCGATCATTCATTCCAATAAACAGGCAAATGTACTACAGCTCATATTTGGTACTGAATCTTCAAAAGTTACTAATTCATAAGCAACTTCCCTTTTTGATTTCATAAATTTCATTTCCAGCAATATGGCAGAATGGTTACCCTAAAAATTTGTTTCAACTGAAGAAGAGTCCTCTTCTCTTTCTTTTCTTCTCCTTCCCAATTACAATCCAGGAGTTACTGTGATAATCAGTCCTTTTTTTAGCTGTATATACTGACAGAAAAATAAATAAATAAATAGGACCACAATGCCCTTTAAGCATTTGACAGATGCTATGCTTTTCATTTTATTTCATGCCTTTATTTAACTCTTTTATTAAACTTTTTGATTAGTTAACTTTTTCATAATCAGTAAATATTGAGTCAGATAATAGAAAGGCAATATGAGACAGAGAGAGGCCCTTTTTTAACCTTTACTGGAATTACTCTCTTTAATGGAAACCAAAGAACAAACAACTCAATGATATAGCCATAATAGGCCCTTTGGAGAAAGAATAAAAAATATAGTACATTGCTCAAGCTGTCATGGAAGCCTTACCATTACTTAGAGCTTAATGGGTCTGAAAATACTAGTGAGAAGGGATTAAACTACTTTTCCCTCTTGGAAAACTGTTAACTCTTCTAGGATATCATTCAGGGAGCTCAGTGAGCCAGTTTACTCAATGATGCATTAGTGGCCTCTAAAAATTAATGGACCTTTCAGAGCTTGCTACTTATTACTTGATGCTAAGGTCCCGGACTAGGCATTGTTCAGGGGGAAAAAAAAATTTAAGGTAGGGGAACACAAATGCTCACATTGGCAAATTAAAACGAGTGTGAGTTTTGCTATAGCATATTACCTAATTCTGAGAGTATTAATGGCTTTAGTGGATGGCATTTACTTAGCACTTACTAAATGCCACACGTCAGGCTCATTATCTTACATACATTAGGACATTTAATCTTCACAACAACTCTGTGAGGTAGGTACCAGTATTTCCTCCAATTTTTAGAAGGAAACTAAGCCTTAGGGATTAAAAAAAAAAAAGAATCCAACAAATCCCCACAGAGAAAAGTTTATGGCCACAGATTTTTAAATTACATTATAAGATCACTGAACATTTTTGTTTCTGGACTACTGCCCAGAGGCCAAATGGCCACTATGTCTCTCAAGATGGTAGACTGTAACTCAAGAATGTGTATTAATACACACTTCAGAAACACAGCGAATTCCAACCAGAGAATTTACAGCAAATGACAAATAGCAGTGGATAATATAACACCAAGGGAAGCCACAATTAATATTAATTACCTCACACAGACATTATAAAACCATATTTAAGAAACAGACCGGCTGGATCATGACCTGAGAAGGTTTTGTGATGGCAGTAAAGCAGGATTTGATTAATATGAAACTAAACTATCATATTCATGCCCTCTTATTTGACAACCCATCATGTAAATGCAACAGAACTAACAGGAAGATTTGTCCATTTTTTTGGTGTTTGCCTTAGAACTTCTCTACAGACCCAATACTCGCAAGATCTGTTTGAAGTTTCTAACCACTGCTAAACTCTCAAGTTCTTAGCCTAAGCAAAATTGTGAACAAAAAAGGGTAGTCATTAGTGATGAGCCATTAAATTTTAACATTCACTTGAAGAGCATTTAAGATAGTCATGAACTATCTTTACTTTGGCTACAGTACCTACACAAAAGAGATGAAGTTACTTTTCAGCAAATAACTTAAAAATAGCCACATGTGAAAACTGGAACAAGACAAGGATGCCCACTCTCACGACTCCTATTCAACATAGTACTGGAAGTCCTTGCCAGAGCAATCAGACAAGAGAAAGAAATAAAAGACATCCAAATAGGAAAAGAAGTCAAACTATCTGTCTTCACCGGTGATATGATCCTATACACAGAAAACCCTAAACACTCTGCCAAAAGGCTACTGTTACTGCTAAATGACTTCGGTAAAATTCCAGGATACAAAATCAATGTGCAAAAATCAGTAGCATTTCTATACATTAATAACATTCAAGGTAAGAGGCAAACCAAGAATGCAATCCCGTTTACAATAGCCATTTAAAAATGCCTAGGAATACATGTAACCAAGGAGGTGAAAGATCTCTACAAGGAGAACTACAAAACACTGAAGAAAAAATCATAGATGACACAAACAAATGAAAAAGCATTCCATGCTTATGAATTGGAAGAACAATATCATTAAAATAGCCATACTGCCCAAAGCAATCTACAGATTCAGCACTATTCCTATCAAACCACCAAAGTCATTTCTCACCGAATTAGAAAAA
This sequence comes from Homo sapiens, assembly GCF_000001405.40. Taxonomy (NCBI): domain Eukaryota; kingdom Metazoa; phylum Chordata; class Mammalia; order Primates; family Hominidae; genus Homo; species Homo sapiens. Next base: position 163,746,158 of record NC_000005.10, on the reverse strand, counting down.
AACTATTCTAAAATTCATATGGAACCAAAAAAGATCCCAAATAGTTAAGCAATCTTAAGCAAAAAGAACAAAGTTAGAGGTGTCGCATTACTTGACTTCAAACTATACTATAAGGCTGAAGTAACTAAAACAGCAGGGGACTGGTACAGAAACAGACAAAGACCAGTGGAACAGAATCGAGAACCCAAAAATAATACTAGACACCTACAACCATCTGATCTTCAACAAAGTCAACAAAAGTAAGCAATGGGGATAGGACTCCCTTTTCAATAAATGATGCTGGAATAGCTGGCTACCTACATGCAAAAGAATAAAACTGGACCCTTACATTTCACTATATAGAAAAATTAACTCAAAATGGATTAAAGACTTAAATGTAAGACCTCAAATTATAAGAATCCTAGAAGACAACCTAGGAAACACCATTCTGGACATTGGTCCTCAGAAATATTTATGACTAAGCCTTCAAAAGCAATTGCTACAAAAACAAAAATTGACAAGTGGGACATAATTAAGATAAGCTTCTGCACAGCAAAAGAAACTGTCAATAGAGTAATCAGACAACCTACAGAATGGAAGAAAATATTTGCAAACTATGCATCTGACAAAAGTCTAATATCTAGAATGTGTAAGGAACTTAAACAACACAACAAACAAAAATAAATAACACTATCAAGAAGTGGGGAAAGGACATGAACAGACACTTTACAAAAGAAAATGTACAAGTGGCCAAGGATCATATGAAAAAATGCTCAATCAACATCACTAATCATCAGAGAAATGCAAATCAAAACCACCATGAGACACCCTCTTACACCAGTCAGAATGGCTATTACTAAAAAGTGAAAAAACAGGCCCAGGCATGGTGGCTCTTGCCTGTAATCCCAAGACTTTGGGAGCCAAAGGCAGAGGGATCACTCGAGGCCAGGAGTTCAAGACCAGCCTGGTCAACATGGCAAAACCCCATCTCTACTAAAAATACAAAAATTAGCAGGGTGTAGTAACACACACCTGTAATCCTAGCTACTTGGGAGGCTGAGACATGAGAATTGCTTGCACTCTGGAGACAGAGGTTACAGTGAGGTGAGATCCCACCACTGCACTCCAACCTGGGTGAGAGAGTGAGACTCTGTCAAAAAAGAAAAAAATCAAAAAACAGCAGAAGATGCTGACAAGGTTGCTGAGAAAAGGCAACACTTATATACTGTTGGTGTGAATGTAAATAGTTCAGCAATGGTGGAGGGCAGTTTGGTGATTTCGCTAAGAACTTAAAACTACTATTGAACCCAACAATTCCATTACTGTGTATATATCCAAAGGAAAATAGATCACTATACCAAGAAGACACATGTACTCATATGTTCATCACAGCACTATTCATAATAGCAAAAACATGGAATCAACCTAGGTGCCCATCAATGGTGGATTGGATAAAGAAAATGTACATATACACCATGAAATATGCAACTATATAAAAGAACAAAATCATATCCTTTGCTGCAACATGGATGCAGCTGGAAGCCATTATCCTAAGTGAATTAACACAGAAACAGAAAACCAAATGCCACATGTTCTCACTTATAAGTGGGAGCTAAGCATTGTGTACTCATGGACATAAAGATGGCATCAATACACCGGGCATGGTGGCGTACACCTGTAATCCCAGCACTTTGGGAAGCCAAGGTGGGAGAATTGCTTGATCCCAGAAGGTTGAGGCAGCAGTGAGCTGTGATCACACTACTGAACTCCCACCTGGGTAACAAAGCAAGAGCTTGCCTCAAGGACAAAAAAAAAAAGATGGCATCAATAGACTGGAGACTGATAGAAGCGGGTAGAAGGGAGCTGGGGAGGAGTTGAAAACCTTTTAGGGGCTATGTTCACTATCCGGGTGACAGGATCGTTTGGATCCCAAACCCTAGCATCACGCAATTATATACCCATATAGCAAACTTGTACATGTACCCTCTGAATCAAGAATAAAAGATAAAATTGAGTAACAGGAAGAAATATACCCACACACAACATACATGTATACACATATGTGCATATATATGTATACTTGCGTGTGCATAAATATCTAAGAGAAAATGACAGACTTTTACATGACAGTACTTCCATGTGTTTACACAAGCAACAACAGCCAAATCATATAGGCTACCCACTTGAAGTGCCATCAGCAGAAAACAATCTGATCCTCAGCTTACTTCTCCATATCATGATCATCTAGGCAGATGAAGAGATTGTCATGAGAGGACAGCCTGCAAAATTTGACTTGCTTTGTAAGGCAGTAAAGGCTCATTACCAAAATTTATAAAATCAATGACATGTGCAAGGTAACAAATTCATTTAAATTCCAAAATGCTAAAGCAAAAATGCTTTTGAAATACAAATGGGTTAAATATACATGAAAAATGAAAGCATTATTTCACATAAGATATAATAAAGTCATACCTACTTCCCAACCTCAGCCCTCAGCAAAAGAGACACAAATGTCTTAAACAAAAATAGGTTGATAAGTCTCTAAGGAAAATTGGAATACGCCTATTATTTAAGGTTGTTATCAGTCAAGATAGCTAAGTAGGTCCAGCAATATTCTCTGTGCTTTACAGGCAACAGCATTCTAGCCTGGGAGGATTATGATATCATAAACTCCAGCAATATCTATCTATACCTTTGTGCCATCCCATCTATCAGTGTGTGTTTTCCTGATAAATATTAACTCATTAAATCTAAGTCAAATAGATATAATAGTAAACATACAAGAAGAGATCATAATTTAGTCCACCACAAAATTGAAAAGAGTTTTGTTTCATCTATTTAATACTAGGAATTATGTTTTGTTAACCACACTAGGATGGGTTTTGGAGTCATTCAGAATTGGATCCAAATCCTGCCTCCTTTTGTTTCCTCCCATATCCATTCTTCCTGCAAACGTTCATAAGCACCTACCTCTGCTAAACATGCTGGATATTGGGCATAGAACCAGTAATTGGTCTGATAAAGAAACTGACAGTTTAGTTGTGTGACCAACCTAGGAGCTCTTAGCCTCAGTTTCATGATTGATGAAATGGGAATAACACCAAATATCATGGAGTAGCTGTAAGTCTGATGCGAGAATGCCTGGCATGTTCTCAACAAACCCTAGTTCCCTTTTACTTCCCTACCTGAATGTAGAACTAGAAGGGGGATAGTTGCTTATCCTCTTTCACATGTATGAGAATGCTTCTCTCCAATCATTTGGTAGGCTAGTGAATTCATATAGGAAGAAACTAAGATTCAAAAAACTTAAGAAATTTATCAGAGGTCACCCTATAAGTAATGATGTCATTTGGACAAAAAAACCTAGTTCTTTCAACCTCCACCCTCCAACCTAGTTATCTTTCATTAGATTATATTTCAGACAGACTATAGTGTATGTATTGTGAATGTGTTCAGAATAATTGGAAGAGTATTTCTCCATAAATGGCTGATCCACAGAATGTGAGTGTAGAGATGAAAAAGGGATAGTGCAGTAATCTGAATCTAAAAGCAGTGGAGCAGTTACCATTACTAGGTCAAAGAATGAACAGAGGAAGCAATTGCCAGAATCTAGAAGAAAAGAGGTTCATGTAAAGGAATCTGCCTTGAGAGGAAGAGTGATTTTGTTGGAGAGACATACTTAGCTATAGGTGACCTTGCAACAAGAAAATTGGAAGAACCATTCTTCATGCCTCACTTTTCATCAGCTCCCCAATCTCCTAGAAGGACACAACATTAGGCTAATCCAGCAAAAAGCCAGAAGGCAAGGGGTCACCACTGACATAACCTCTACAGGCCAGCTTCCTGGGCACCGAGAGGAGAGAAAGGTAGAAAGTGGATTGGAAGGAAGAAAAAAAAAATTAAAAAAAAAAAAAAGAAAATAGATTGGGAAGGGCATGTGTAAGATGTCCAGCACAAGCTCCAGAGGTGCTAACTTAAATGTTTACCACTATTGTTTAGAACTCTGAACACAAATTTTTAGTCATGACTAGTTTTCCAAACTAAGCTATAAAAGTCTATTAAAGTCATAATACACATCAAGAATAGAAATGCAGTAGATCCACTTCTCCATAGCAGATAGGATAAATGATTTATCACAGAAAAATCAATCAAAGTGAGAGAGCTTTTTTGTTGTTGTTTGCTTTTTGTTTTTTAGAAACAAGATCTCTCTATGTTGCCCAGACTGGAGTGCAGTGGCAATTCATAGACGCGATCCTGACACACTAGAGACTGGAACGCCTGGGCTCAAGTGATCCTCCTGCCTCAGCTTCAGGCACGTGCCACTGTGCCCAGTTCAAAGTGATAAGTTTTTTATGTTAATTTATTGTTTGTTTGTTTTTGAGACAGTCTTGCTGTGTCACCCAGGCTGGAGTGCAGTGGCGTGATCTCAGCTCACTGCAACCTCCACCTCCCGGGTTCAAGTCATTCTCCTGCTTCAGCCTCCCAAGTAGCTGGGAATACAGGCATCCACCACCACGTTCAGCTAATTTTTTGTATTTTTAATAGAAGCGGGATTTCACCATGTTGACCAGGCTGGTCTCAAACTCCTAACCTCAAATGATCCACCCACCTTGGCCTCCCAAAGTGCTGGGATTACAGGTGTGAGCCACCACACCTGGTTGTTAATTTTTTTTTTTTAAGACAGAGTCTTGCTCTGTAGCCCAGGCTGGAGAGCAGTGGCACAATCTCAGCTTACTGCAACCTCAGCCTCCTAGGTTGAAGCAATTCTCCTGCCTCGGCCTCCTGAGTAGCTGGGATTACAGGCTCTCACCACCACACCAGGCTATTTTTGTATTTGTAGTAGAGACAGGGTTTCGCCATGTTGGCCAAGCTGGTCTCAAACCCCTGACCTCAGGCGATCCGCCCGCCTCGGCCTCCCAAAGTGCTAGGATTACAGGCGTGAGCCACCGTGCCTGGCCTGGCTGTTAATTTTTAAATGTACATGAATTGTGAGTCTTTGGTAAAAGTCCAAGGCATTTTCTTTGATGTGAGTCTACACCAATAAAAGTTGCACATTTTCCCTCCTTCATTAATGGCTTCCTTAGCACATTACCATAATTGTCCTTCACTTGTTTTTTTAAAGTTGTATGAGAACTTAAATACACTTGAGAAGCATTATTGGCAAACAACCTTTCTGGGTTAAAAAAAAATTCCAATTTTTTACAACTATCTTTCCCACCCCAAATCAACAGCCATCTTTACTCTGTTTTGAGAGTTTCCAAAGTATTCAACAGAGTTCTGAATTCTTACTGGTTAATTTCATTAGTTTGTGTAATATTTAATTAAATCACATAACTAAAATAAAATGAAGAAAATGTGAAACAGGTTTAGAAATAAATACAACTATCTCTCATTTTGTGTAAATCTCATGTGGTGGGAACAGATAAACATGAGCGTGATAAAGAGTAGCTGGCTCACTGAAAGGCTTCAACCTGCCAAAAGCAACCAACAGTGCATTTCGCAAGGGGAATAGAAAACATGGGTTAACATGGCATATTGGTTAATAGAATTTAGTTAACAGAGTCTGCTATAATAAATAGTACTAGTTCATCCACCCAAATCTACCAGTGATAACCCTATTCTAAAAGTCAATGAGCTCACTTAGCTCTAAAAATGTGTATTCACTGGATAAATGGAAAAGGGAATGGATAGATATATGGACAGACAGACAGATGGAAAGAAGGAAAGAAAGAAGGGAGGCAGGCATTTGGAGCTTCAACTCAGACCATTGTCAAATGCATGCCTTCTAGATCAGAAAACAGGAGGGAAAGAACAGCGGGGATGATTCTGAAACCACTGTGTATGTATATTGGAATTGAACAATTAAGTAAATGGACAGCAGATGGTGGGAGCCAGGTTTCTCACTGTTGGAGTGAGAGGTTTCAAACATGGAAGCGAGACTAGAATGATCATGGGGTAATGGATTTGAGTTGGAGGCATCAGTATTAACCATGTTTAGCTTGATGTTGATGCAGACGGACACACGTAGGAACATTTACAGATGTGTGTATATACATAGCTACTACACACACATGCATTTCCTTAATCCATCAGCTGAGAAGGCCTAGAAGCAATGACAGCCCTATAGCAATGAGCAAATCTAAAGCCCTGATTTTTGTTTCTAACATCATTTTTCATTAAGAGAAACCAGAGCTCCTCTTAGAAATTACAGATTCTAGGGCTGGGGTAGGGAAGATACAAGATGAGCCTGAAGTATTCTACAATGCCAGGAGGTAAAGAAGTGATAAAAACAAACAAACAAAAAAAATTAAAATAAACGCACACACAATGGTAACATCAACGGGAAAAAGAAGCCAACTGAAAGAGCTCCCAATGGCCAAAGCAATCTGAGCAAGAAAATAAAGTTGAAAAAAAAAAGGACAGAGGAGGCAAATTTTCTATGCAAAGAATTACAAATAATTTCATTAGACACTTTGCCCTCAAAGTGGATCATAACTCCCACTTCTTAAATGTAGGTTGTTCATAAGGACTTCATTCCAAAGGGTACAGTTTGGAAAGGGACCAAAACAAGAGGAGCTTCACAGTAGAGAAATCTAACAAACACAATTTCAGCCAGATGTTCAGTTAATGTCAACATAGATGAGTCCTATTGATAGGATGTGCCCTTGATTTAGTGTGATGAGAATGGCAGTTTACCTCTGTACTACTCTTCCTCCCCAAAACTCATAACCCTAGTCCAATCATGAGACAAACATCACACAAATCCCAATTGAGGGACAATCTATAAAATACCTGATCAGTACTCCTCAAAACCCTCAAAGTCATCAAAAACAAGGAGACTGCCAGAACGGACGGGAGCATAAAGAGACATGACAACCCAACGTAATGTGCCATCCTGATGGGATCCTGGAACAGAAAAAAGAGACATTCAGGTAAAAACTAAGAAAATCTAAACAAAGTATGCAGTTAATTAACAATAATGTATTAATATTGGTTCATTAATTGTGAAAAATGAACCATTCTAACGTGGTATGTTAATAGTAGGGGAACCTGGGTGTGGGGCAGAACTCTCTACTATCTTGCAACTTTCCTGTAAATTTAAAAGTATTTTAAAATGTGCAAGTTGGCCGGGTGCAGTGGCTCATGCCTGTAATCCCGGCACTTTGGACGCTGAAGTTGGTGGATCACCTGAGGTCAGGAGTCAGAGACCAGCCTGACCAATATGGTGAAACCCCGTCTCTACTATAAATACAAAAATTAACTGGGCATGGTTGCATATGCCCGTACTCCCAGCTACTCAGGAGGTTGAGACAGGAGAATTGCTTGAACCCGGGCAGCAGAGGTTGCAGTGAGCCGAGATACCACTGCACTCCTGCCTGGGCAACAGAGCAAGACTCCATCTTAAAAAAAAAAAAAAAATGTGCAAGTTTACTTTTAAAAATCCAACAGGGATGATATTTTTTTGATACCCACAAATCCATAATCTCTACGCAGTCTAACGAAAAAATAAAGCTATCCTTCTTATTTCCCCAGGCTCATCTCAAACAACTCCTTCTCCCTGCTAACCATTTTGGACATCTCTCCAATCTTTAAGGATGACATTTCCCAAGAATTTTAAACATGCTGTTCTGCCAGAAAAACGCTCCCCTCTTTTCACCTGCCTGACACTTTCTTTTCTGTCTGAAGTAATCCACAAGACCTATTTCAAATGCTTAGCCATACATACACAAAAGCCATCCTGAAGGACCACAGCAGTATAGCCTATTTTTCTTTGACTTTGGTAGGAATCAGCAGAAAAACATCCGGTTCATAATACAGAGACATAGTAGGTAATTTTCTCAACAAAAGACAAGCGGTCTTTAGTGTTAGGAAATGTTAACTTTCTGTTCTCTCCTCTCTTTCTTACAAGGACACCCAGGCTTTCCCTGCCATCTGGAGCCTAAAAGCTGCCCTGATAAACTCCTTTGCTCCAGCTTGCAACCAGAGAAGGAAGGGAAATAACCAGTAAATGAGAAACCAGGGTCTATTTGAGGTGGGAGCTTCCTGGTCTGCAGGAACTATAAACCTGATCCCAATAACAAGTAAGGAGAATTGCAGACAGCAGGTGCTGCAAATCTGCATACCCTTTTCTTGTCTAAGTGCCAGGAGACAGCAATACTTTTGTTTTCCACAAGCCCATAGAGGAAATATAATCTAAGCTTCTCTAAAGGGATAAAAACAAACAAACAAAAAATTACTAAGATTGTATCCAATCACTTAGCAAACGGACTGATTAGAAAAAGCGAGGCAGGTGTTGGAGAGGTGGGCATCATTTTACATGACTCTTTCTCCTGTGAGGACCTAGAATGGATAGCAATGCCGTGTTAAAGATTTTGTCAGTTCCCTTTTCTTCTTCTTCTTTTTTTTTTTTTTTTTTTTTTTTTTTTTTGAGACGGAGTCTCGCTCTCGCCCAGGCTGGAGTGTAGTGGCGCGATCTCGGCTCACTGCAAGCTCCGCCTCCCGGGTTCACGCCATTCTCCTGCCTCAGCCTCCCGAGTAGCTGGGACTACAGGCACCCGCTACCACGCCCGGCTAATTTTTTTGTATTTTTAGTAGAGATGGGGTTTCACCATGTTAGCCAGGATGGTCTCGATCTCCTGACCTCGTGATCCGCCCGCCTCAGCCTCCGAAAGTGCTGGGATTACAGGCCTGAGCCACCGCGCCCGGCCCCCTTTTCTTCTTTGCAGCACTTATTGCACTTGTAATTATGTGTGTAATATCCACATCCCCTAATATAATACCATATTTTTCCATTTTGTTAACCATATCCTCACCATCTATTGTAGTATTATTACATAGTAGATGCTCAGTAAACAAACTTTCTGAATGATACACTATTTATGTCTCTTATTCAGTTTTTGGCATGTTTTAATGCAAGTGTGGTGTGCGTGTGTGTGTGTTTGTGTGTGCTTGCGTTATGTATATATTCTACTCTGCTTTTACTCTACTTTCTAGTCTTAATAAATTGCTTAAAATAAATAGATTATCCTTTAGGGGTGTATCTGTCTTATCAATGAAATAAAAGAAAATGGTTTTAATTATAATTTCCCACTCTACATTATGCCCAATGACAGAAGATTTTAAGTAGAAGTTTATTTATAATTAATTTGTCTTTTTTTAAAAGCATAGAACATGTCTGTTCATCACCTTTGAAAGACCTGGCTAAATAGCTCCTTAAATATTCCAGTTAATCCAGCCATAGGGAGTATTAAATATTTAGGAATGTAGTGCAAACTACTTTGTCAGAATAGTTCCATTTAAATTACACTCCCCTGTTACCAATTGTAGGTGATGATTTCATTAGGTGGATGGAGTTAGTTACAACGATCATTAATAAGCTCTGTTAATGTCATCAATATTCCTATTCTCCAGAGTGGTGGGAACTAACACACACACACACACACACACACACACACACACACACACACACCCCTGCCTAGTGAGGAAGATGGCCTATTTCTTACAAAATTCATTCTGTGTCTTCTCCTCCAGTGATTAGCCTTGTTTTGTTTCCTGTCTTCACAGTGACTACAGCCAACAGCTCTATTTTGCTTTGTATGAAAAATTGCTTCACTTGATTACATTTGCAGAGAGAGTAGACACTTTGTAGCTATAACAAAGTACCCAAAAGGACAATTTCATGTTCTTTCTTCAAGGTATTCATCATAAGAGCTGTTCTCACAGTTAAAACAGAGTCAAATAAATAGAGTATCAGAAAATTAATATGTAAATAAAACTAAGACTTTATAGACTATCTATCACAATGACCTTTTTAAAACACTATTTTGGAGACCAGATATGGACTCCAAAAAAACTGTTTCTTATCTTCTCCGTGAAACTAGAGATGGAAGAATGAGAAAAACGTCACGTAGAACTCTGAATTTGACTCAAAAGCTGACAGCTCCAAGAGAAGTTTCCTAAATCTTGCTCAGAAGGAAGACAGACAGGGATACAGAGTGGAAAGAGAGAATTCCATATATAGTTGTGGCAGGACCCATTGTGACCTGCTGATTGTAGCCACTTTACATGGTACTCACAAACGCAAGAGGTTTTTACTTTTCATCTGTTAAGTTGAAAGTAATCTCAGTAATGATGAATTCTATTCTCAACTCTCCAGTTATCCAAACAACAAACTCTATGCCATTTGCTCATGAGGACAAGAATAAAAATGAAAATAGTGTTAGTTATATGTATGAGGAAAATAACCCTCTTAAAGGGTCCTTTGAAAAAGCCAATACAATGTATCCAAATTAAATTCCTTTAAACCTGACAGAGAACTCCCACAAATGATTCATTATAGGAGTCTCTACATCGAAATGGATTAAGACTTACTTGCCCTCGGAGAAAGAATCATTAGACAACTAATTTAAGAGAAAGGATTAGTTTCTCTCTTGAACCAATTAGAGCCACTATCACCTAGAAAAAGTAAGGTAGCCTTAAAAATGTGCCACAAGGTTGGTAGTTTTTATTTGAGCGGAGGAGTAAACATCAGGAAAATCCCATGCAAAAACTGCAGTAGCAGAGCACACTCATGGAGTTTGTCAACGAGAGACTCAATGGAGATTCATTCACTCTTACAATTTGTTTACTCCATACCCAATATAAACAAGGGCCTGCGCTTGAACTAAGTGGGACTAGAACAAAAGGTAACACTGGGTACACACCACTTACCTGCCATCAGATTTACCTGCATTACCTTGTTGCTCTCTCATTACAGCCCTGTGAGGTAGCTCAGCCTCTTCATTTCATAGGTGAGGAAATGAGACAGCCAAATGGGAGGAGGTCCCTGGAGAAACTCCAACCAACCTGCCCACTGAGGTGGAGCCTCAGGAAGTTCATGCCCTTTGCAGGGCCTCTTGCTGTATGGAGCCGAGGGAAGTTCATGCCCTGGCCCCACCTCTTCCTGTGTGGAACCTGGGACTCAAACTGCCTAGTGGGAATGGCTCTCATGGAGGGCCAGAGTCCTTGTTTCCCCCTTTTCTCCCTTTTCTCCCAATAAAACCCTGCTTTACTCCCCCTTTAAGCCATCTGCAAGCCTAAATTTTCGTGGCCGTGGGACGGACAAGAACCCCATCTTTAGCTGAATTAAGGAAGAGTCCTGCAACAGAAAGAAACTTGGAGAGCGTTCAGAGCAGCTTTCTCAAAATGATCCACCTACAAAGTGGCAAAAGCAGCGTCCAAACTTCTTTCTGCTCATTCAGATCCCCAGTGATATGGTTTGGCTCTGTGTCCTGACCCAAATCTCTTCTCGAATTGTAATCCCCACATGTGGAGGGAGTGCCTGGTGGGAGGTGATTGGATCATGGGCACTGTTTCCCCTATGCTGTTTTCGTGATAGAGGGAGAGTTCTCGTGAGATCTGATCATTTAAAAGTGGCAGTTTTTCCTTCACCCTCTATCTCTCCTGCTGCCTGTCGCCTGCTTCCCTTTGCCATATGCTACGATTGTAAGTTTCCTGAGGCCTCCCCAGCCATGCAGAACTGTGAGTCAATTAAACTCCTTTCTTTATAAATTACCCAGTCTCAGGTAGTATCTTTATAGCAGTGTGAAAATGCAGTAATACAACATGCTAGCTGCTGAAAGTCAGCTAAAGTCATCATCTATCCTGGAAACACTGATCCCTAAACCACAACCAGGGAGGAAAGGCACATGCAAAGATAACTGAAAAAAATGTTTCTGTGACAAGGAGAGGCACGTGTAGTATTTTAAGAGTTGAAAAATGAGGGAAGATTTGCAAGAAATAAAATTTAAACTGGGTGTGTGTTAGGTTTTGTCATGTCATGTCATGTCATGACAAAAATAAAATATAAGCAAAAAAAAGTATAATGTAAGTTTGGGACACAACAAATCCCTTTTGGTTTTAGAATAGGGCAATAGGATATAAGTAAGCAATTCAGTGGGTAATTTATAGCATCAGCTCTGGAGTGACACTGTCTGGATTCAAATTTCATCTTGAGCACTTATTAGCTGTGTGAACTTGTGCAAATTAAGTTCTCTAAGCCTTAAGGTCCTCATGTGCAAAACAAGGATAATTGTACAAATCTCTAGATTTGTTGCAAATATTAAATGACATGATACATACCAAGCTCCCAAGATGGTGCCACACACAGGGAAAGTGCAAAATAAGTGTTAGCTGTTGTCATTATGCAGAGAGTAGGAAGAATTAAGCTTGAAATAGAAAACTGGAACTATGCTAAAGACTGGTATGAATGCCAATGGCAATAATTTAGACATTGTAAAATAAGCAATAGAGAGATAATACTGAAAGTTTTTGAGTCAACGAGCTTTACAATAAAAGCTACACTTTAGAGAGAATAATGCAGCAGCAGCATCCAGGATGGACTGGTGAAAAAAAAGAGATCAACATTAGTGAATGAACTACCACAAAAGCCCAAATAAGCAAAGGTAAAGAAAGACCCAACAAACACTACAACCCAAAAGTAGTAGGATGGAACTAAATATAAATGAAGACACCAAAGATATTCCGTAATTGTCCATAAGATTAGCCCTCACATCCTACTACAGAGGCAGTCTGGGGTTAATGAGCCAAATATTAACTGATCCTATAAATGTACTTAATCTTCAATAATAGGAGATCCAGTAGCAAGATCCTATGACAATGATTGGCCATGTAACCTTGTAAATATTAAGTGTCTCCAGTTTTCTATGCTTTTTAACAAATGCATGGGATATAATATTAAATATAGCATTATTCCCACACTCAACACACTCAGAGTCTAGTATGAGATCTACTGGTACATGTACTAGTTGCTCAATCGATAGTGACTGGAAGACTCAAGTATGATCACACCAACAGCATTTCTGAGGTCAAGCAAATCAGAGTTAAAATACTAGCCCCGACATTTATTAAATTTTTGACATGGGTAAATTATTTAGCATTCCTAGCTTTAGTTTTCCTTATCTCGAAATAGAAATAATAAGTTACAAACCAACATAATTACATGAGGTTTAAATGAAAGTCTATCTTTGAAGGATGCAAACACTAGAATTAAAAGATTTAGAATACAAATTAAGAAAAAAATATTTAACATGATTAAGAAATTGAAAAAAAGAAGTTGAAAACATGAAAGGGTGGGGAATCGACTATTAGAAATTGTCAGCAACATTTGGAAAAGAAAGAGAAGTTTTAGAACTAGAAAATACGATGGATAAAATTAAATATATATTGGATGGGTTAAACAAAAAATTAGGCACCTCTGAAGAGATGATTAACGAACTAAAAGACAGATCTAAAGAAATAACTCAGAATTCAATACAGGAGTGGAAAAGAAACACAATAAGAAAAAAAGAAGAAAGGAGTTAAGATATAAAAATATTTAACACACTTCAATTGGAGTTCCAGAAATATTGGGGAAAAATAGAGGAAAAAAATACTTAGGTAAGAACATTTAAACATTTAACATTACTTTTGGACAGTAACACTTTGGCTTGGTAAACAATCTGTAGCATGAATAAAAATAAACATCAAAAAGACACATAGTAATCACAACTGAAGTGTAAAAAAGACAAAGAGAAAATCTTAAAAGCAGCCAAAGGGAAAAGACAAAGCTGTGGCCAACTTCACTCCAGTAACAAGGAAAGCCAGAAATCAGAGTAATAAAATCTTCACAAAGTTTTTAGAAAAAAAAAAATGTTAGTCCATAAGTGTAAATTTAACAAAACTAATTTTCAAGAAGAAAAGGCAAATAAACTTTTGTTTGTTTCTGAGAGTCTCACTCTGTCACCAGGCTGGAGTGCAGTGGTGGGATCTCAGCTCACTGCAACCTCCGCCTCCCGAGTTCAAGCAATTCTCCTGCCTCAGCCTCCCTGGTAGCTGGAACTACAGGCACCCGCCACCACGCCCAGCTAATTTTTGTATTTTTGGTAGAGCAGGGTTTCACCATGTTGGCCAGGATGGTCTCTATCTCTTGACCTCGTTATCCACCCACTTCAGCCTCCCAAAGTGCTGGGATTACAGGTGTGAGCCACCATGCCCAGCCCAAATAAACATTTTTTAGACAAAAACTTTACAACCAACATATACTCATTAAAGTTATTTGAAAAAATATACATCAAGAAGTAGGGAAACTATTGCTGAAGAAAGGTCTAAAATGCAAGAAGGAATATTGAACAAAAAGAAATGATAAATGTGGATAAAAATTTACTCTGGGATATAGTGATGATGATTATGAAGTCATCTAATTTGCATGGTTAGAAAAAAACAGTAGTAAAATATTTGATAACAAGAATATATTAGTTGGGAGTGAGCAGTATATGTTGAAGTGTCTTCAAATCCTTATAATGTTTGAACAAATGACAGATTCAATTGTCAAATGAAGTTGTAGAAATAAATCCAAACTTACGGAAACTCATAATAAATGTAAATGAATTCTTATAAAAAGAAAATAAAGTATAAGGGAGAAAAGAAGATTTCTTTGTTCACCCATCGCTAAGAGCATGGCCAAAACCCTCATAACAAAAGACACAAGGGAAAAGCACACAAGGAAAAGCATACAAATTTATTTAATGTAAGTTTTACATGACACAGAAGCTTTCGGGAATAAATACCCAAAAGGAATGGGGAAAACTGTGTATTTTTATGGACATCATGCAGAAGTATGATTGAAGAACAAAAGAGTATGGTTCAATATTAGTAAACTGGGGGATCTGGCAAAGCCTGTTTGTTCAGATTCTTCTTGACATCTCTGTGTCTTTAAAGATAAAGATGTTCTTTGGATATAGGGAGGGTATGTCTGGAATGAAGGTTTCCTTCAGAGGAAGGTCAGATTCTTCTTTATAGTCTGCTTCAAGGGAAAAAGGCCAGAGAAAAATGAGAGTAATCTTCCTGCTTCTGTTGTTTCCACACAGGCAGAAGTGCCGTATTTTGGGGTTGTAGTCATGAATCCTGTCAAAAGGAATAAATCAGATATACCAAGTAACTATAATGCTAAATAAAGTCAGGGAAACAAATTGATATCAGGTAACACAAACTTTTGGGAGAGAAACATCATAATGAACAAAAAGGGATATTATAAACAGGTTAAAGGAGCAAAAATCAAAACAAGAAAAATGTAATGGAAATGAAAGAAGGAAAATAGAGATAAGGATAGAAATCAGTAAAATAGAGATGATTAAATGAAAAGTATTTTAATACAACTGCAAACTTTTGGCAAGACATATCAAGAAAAAGAATTTAAAATGTATATATTATAATTAAAGTGGGTAAATAATTTTAGTAAGTATTAAAAATATAAAAATGCTGTGGAAAACTATATGCCAGCAAATTTGAAACCTAGATGAAAAGGGTACATGTTTGGAAACATGTAAAATGTCCAAATAGTAAAGCTGATGAGGGCAATAACCACCAAATAAATTAAAAATACTAATAATGGCAGTTTGTTCTCCATGAAGCCAAAAATAACTTGTTAAACCAGAAATAAGATTCCTAGAACCCTCTTCTGAGTTAGAGCTGGCCAAAAAAGGAATGTGCTAAAGACGAGGAAGGTGAAAGTGAAGGAGCTGCCACTCCTCTCTAGAGGTTGCCATAGTCTCTGTGTTGACAGACAGGTGGTTGGCTGGAGCCAGCCTGTGCCAGGTCACAGGAGCTGACGGTGCATATCTCTGCAACTTCACATTCAGCGACTCACATTGATAGCTTGAAATAGGGCGTAGTAGCAATATTTACACTACAAAAACCGGAAAACACTTAAATCAGGAATTTTCCCTACTCCCCACCCCCAACACAAACCCTGGAAAGGTGGTTGTTATGTATTTACCACTGTGTGTGTCTATCACATTGTGATAGACATAAAGCTGTCAATAACTTCCCTGTGAATCAACCCTAGGTTCATTATCAGATGCTATGAAGACAATGATGATCTCTATCTTATTCAAAAAATTCTAGTAAGTAGAAAAAGAATGTAAGCTTCCTGATCATATAACAAAGCTAATTATTAACCTCAAACCAAAGCCTGGATATAAGAAAATGACATTATAGGATCATTTTAGTATGTGAACATAGATCCCAAAATCCTAAATAAGATATACATTTACTGTTCTAATGCTATATTAAAATGTCTGTATCACAGTCAAACAGATTTTATCCCAGGAATGTAGCAACTGTAACATAAGAAAATCTAGTCGTCATAATGCCCCATATTAATGGTCTAAAGCAGAAAAAATATATGATCATTCCAATGGATGCAGGGAGGCATCTGAAAAATCTCAATACTTTACAGGATTATTTAAAGAAAACCAAATAACAAAACAAAGCAACAAAAAAACTGAGAAAAACTGAAACAATAGAAGGCTCTCCTAACTTGATAAATATCTGCCCAAAATTCTACAGCAAATACATAATCAATAGTACAATATCAGAAATACCACCACTATTTAATGTAGTACTAGAAGACTTGATTAATGCCACAAAACAAAGAAAATAGGTTAGAAGTATGAAGATTTTGAAGAAGGTGAAATTGTAATTTTTAGATTATATTATTTCTTACCTAGAACATTGAAGAAAGTAGATACTTTTACTAATAAGTTTATGAAATCTTGTAAGTAAACTATTAATAAGAATATCCATAGACATATCTTTACCAATACAACTAACTAAATTATATAATAGAAAACAAAATACTAGTCACTGCCACAGCAAAATATCAAATAAATATCTAGGAATCACCCTAAATAAAATGTTTTCTTCAGTGTAGTGATTCCTCAAAGACTGAAAAACAGAGCTATCATTTGACCTAGCAATCCTATTACAAGATATATACCCAACAGAATATAAATTTTTCTATTATAAAGACACAGGCATGCATATGTTCATTGCAACACTATTCACAATAGCAAAGATATGGAATGCCCATCAATGTTAGACTGAGTAAAGAAATGTGGTACATATACACCATGGAATATTATGCAGCCATAAAAAAGAATGAGATCATGTCCTTGCACAGACATGGGTGGAACCGTTATCCTCAGCAAACTAATGCAGGAATAGAAAACCAAATGCCACATGTTCTCACTTATAAATGGGAACTTAATGATAAGAAAACATGGACATATAGAGGGGAACAACACACACTGGGGCCTATAGGAGGGTGGAGAGAGGGAAGAGGGAGAGGATCAGGAAAAATAATTAATGGGTACTAGGCTTAACACCTGGGTGATGAAATAATTTATACAACTAACGCCCATAACACAAGTGTACCTATATAACAAACCTGCACATGTACCCCTGAACTCAAAAGTTGAAAAACAAATAAATAAAATGTCTTCCTAACAAGTGCAGGAAAAAATAACTCTATTAAAGATTTTTAAAACTGAGTAGAAAGTTATGCTATGTTCAAGGATGAAACCATTAAATGGTTAAAACACATCAATTGTCACTCAGACTACTCTATTTATATCATGTCATTCCAAAAACAGAATTGAGTAAAATTTGCAATTTCATAGGCTCTTCCCACAATTATAAGTAAGAACACAGAATCAGTCAGCAGGACAGTTTAGAAAAAGAAAATGAATAACTTGCTTTAGCAGATATTACGAAGCCAAACAATTAAAGATAGTTGATAGAATAGACAGATGGATAGATGAATAGATAGAGATGGATCAATAAATAGGTAGTAATTGGTGCAAGAATAGACTATTAAGCCAGTGGGAAACAATATATTAGTTTTGTAATAAAGAGGCATCATAAATCAGTAGGAATAAGATGCATTATGAAGTAAATTCTGTATATAAATGGAAAAACACAGTATATACAAAACTATAAAGCTAAAGAAAAAATACAAAAGAATATATTTGAGACCTTGGGGGTAGATTAGGAAATCAGTTTTTAAAATAGTCAAAATAGATACTATAAAGGGAAAAATTAATTTTAATGCAATCAAATTTCATGAAAGATTCATGTTCAGTGAAGCATGTCATAAACAAAATATGAATGACAGACTAATGGAAGACATTCACAATGTTTAAGACAGTCAAGGGAATAAGTACAAAAATATAAAAGGAATTCTCATAAATCATCAAGAAAAAAATGGAAATCTATAAGTAAAATGAGCAAGGCTATGAATAGGCAATTTACAAAAATGAAAACCTTAAATGGTTTATAAGAATATGATGTTTAGCCTTATTAGTAATCAGAGAAATGCGAATTAAAAGGAGATGCCACTTTACATACATTATTAGAATGGCAAAATGTAAAAGGTCAGATAGCATCAACTACTGAAAGCCTCGTGAACTACTGGTGGAAGAACATTGAGTGTGAGAACATCCCAGCACTCAACAATCGTCCTTAAAGAGTGAGCCACATATGAAGATGATAGTTAAAGCATTTTTTCTCATACCAAGATGCTGGAGGCCTACAAGGTTTTGATCACTAAATGAATGGGTAAGTAAAATGTAATAAATACATATAATGGAAACATAAAATAACAAATAATATTTAATAATAAATATTTTTAATGTTGAGAGAAAATATTAGGAGTGTATTTTGTAGCATAAAATCATCTACATAAACTGAAGACACCCCAAAATAAAGCAGCATGTTTGTTACAGACATATACCTAAATGAACATATGAACAACATATAACATGGTATGTTATATGTTAAATTCAATGAAGATGATGCCTATATATAGGTTAGAATCAGGGTAGAAGATAAAAGAAAGAAAACACCGTAGAAGATAAAAGGTAAAGCAATGATAAGTGTCTTAATTCAGTTTGTGTTGCTGTGCAGAAATACCTGGGACTGGGTAATTTATAAAGAAAAACAGTCCATTTTGGCTCACAATTCTGCTGGCCAGAAGACTGGGCATCTCATGAAAGCTTCAGGCTTTTCCACTCAGGGAAAATGAAAGCGAGCAGGTCTGTGCAGAAATCACATGGCAAGAGAGGAAGTAAGAGAGAGGAGGGAGGTGCCAGGCTCTTTTTAACAACCAGCTCTCTGGGAACCAATAGAGCAAGAACTCACTCACTGCAGCGAAGACAGCACCAAGACTTTCATGAGGGATCTGCACCCGTGACCCAATCACCTCCTATTAGGCCCCACATCTGACATTAGGGATTAAATTTCAACGAGATTTGGAGAGTCAAACAACCAAAATATAACAATGAGATTACTATGAATTGAGTAAGAACAACTCAACTCTTGTACCTGAAGTTCACACTAGGAAAAACAAAAGGGTCTTTGGATTTCATTCACAGGCACACATTGACATGTTAGGAGAAAAATGACCATCTGTGTCACATAACTAAATGTGAGTTCACAGATTCCATTTCATCCAACTGATTTCTAGATAGATGACACATTCTTAAGTCTAAATGATAAACTTGTGCACCCAAATGGAAGGAGAGAATGTTATTTTCACCTTTCCCCTACCCCACCCACACACATACAGAAACAATAAAACACTGACATTGGTATAGGAAGAACCTGCCATCCCTGAACAGTATGCAACTTATCAAATCATGATTTTATTATCTCCACACTTCTGCAAACTCCCAAATCTTCAAAGAAGAGTAACTCATACATCTAAGATTCAGTCAGGGGATTAGCTTAAAATAGAAGTAAAATGAGGCATAGTTTGTCTAGAGATTTTTCCTTGGAAAACAAACTACTCTATGCAATTATGTTGAGAATTGAAAACTGCTACAGATGGCTTACTAAGTCTATTAATACCAAAAGACCATTATATGCAATTTTGTCATTAATTGCAAAAATCCCATTGATTTTAATCTACAAAAGTAATAAATCCAACACACACAATAATTGCTTGTATTTCTAAACCCTAAGAGATTAGACATTTTAAATCTTCTTGTCTCCACTCTTAACTAGGGAATTTAAATATTAGAAAATAAATTTGAAGCATCTACTTTGAAGATGAAAGTATAAATTTTGTCATGGAAACATAAAAACAAATTAATTCAATTTACACTATTTACTGCACTATAGGGTTTCTACTAAAAAATGTGATATAAAACTAAACATTAGCACAATTTAACATTCTTGACTCAGAAATAGACCAAACATAGTTCTTAACTCAAATAATATTGCAAATCATGTATTTTACAACATATTTTCCCAATTGTGACTATAGCTACATATATTTTATTATTGGCCTTATGTCTTAAAATAATTTTATTTATATTAAAATTTCCAAATATACAGTCACAATTCTGTAAATACTTTTCATTAGGTTTTAATTTTACAATTTAACAGTAGTCAAATGCAAAAGTCTTAATAATGCTTCTAGCACAAACTACATACTTAAAGAATGTTAAAGCGTACACTAAAGATATAATTGAGAAGGAGAAAGTGCTAAAGACTAACCTTGAACACTAAATGATTCCAAATTACTTTTTCTTTAACATTTGTATGTCTAATTTTGATAAACAAATGGAAACTAAAAATGCAGATTATGATTATGTCTGGGAGGAAAGATTACAGGTGATTTTTAGTTTTCACCTTCATACTTTCATTTTTTCCATATTTTTCAAATTCTCTCTCTAGGACACCTACTTCTCTTTTACTCAGAGGAAGAATAAATCTTAAAACGAAGAGGACGTTCACAGCCAGCAATATTGTTAACCACATATCTGGAGTACAGATGAAGTATAGACCACTGAAAATTATAGATAAAATATAGGATTTTTAAAAAACACATCTAAAGCTTCAAGGCTAAGAATTTTTTAAAAGAGAAAAAAATAGATAAGACACTGAGCAAGAAGAGAATAAGTTAGGGTTGAATAAGTGATGACTTTACTAACAAGCATTCTAATTTCTAAAGGAAGCTTATTAAAATATTGATTAACTTAAAGCATGAAATTAAATATGCCTGTTAAACTTTTACATTTTACTCCAAGCTCTATAAAAAGTAGAGTGCCCATTTTCATAGCAGTTTTTACAGTTTTAGTATCATCTCAGGATATGATAGAACTATCATTGCATATCGATGAGGAATTTTGTATTATATACTAAATGGTACTGAGACAATTGGTTGATCAGATGAAAAAAAAGAATGAAATTGAATCCCTCCCATACATCACAAAAACCAATTTCCTGCAAACAGAAGCCACAATGAGATATTACTAAACACACATTCAAATGCCTAAAATTAATGACTATCAATACCAAGTGTGGGAGAGAATGTGAAGAAACTTGAATTCTCATACATGGCTGGTGGAATACAAAATAGGACTACTTTTGAAATATTTTGGTAGTTTTTTATAAAGTTAAATATTAACTTATTATTCCTGGCTGTTTTTTCAAGATATATAAACATATGCTCATACAACAACTTGAATACAAATATTCATGACAACTTTTTTCAAAATAATTTAAAAAAAACTGCAACAGTTTATTAATGGGTAAATAGATGCACAAATTATGGACTATCCCACAATAGAATAGAATGAGACTCAGCAAATAGAAAGTAAGAAGGAAACAGCTACTGCTACATACAACAACATGGATAAATCTCATTTACATTATGCTGAGTGAAAGAAGCCAGATGCAAAATAATACACACTGTAAGTTTCCGTTTATATGAAATTCTTATAAAAGACAAAACTAATCTCTGGTTATTCAACAGATAAGTGGTTGGTTGGGGCCAGGTGACTTGGGAGCAACAGACTGTAAAGGGAGCTTTTTGAGGTGATGCAAATATTCGACCTCTTGCTTGTGGTAGTGGTTACGAGTGTATGCATTTGTCAAAACCCAAACTATACACTTTAAATAGGTATGTATTTTATTATATGTGAATTAAACCTCAGTAAAATGTGTGTATACATATATAATTTTATATATAGGTACATATGTGATACTTATGTATAATAAAAACTTAAATGTTAAAGACAAAGCCTTAAACACCTTCTAGAAAAAAAAATCAGAGAATAGTTCTGTTTTCTGCATAAAGAGTAAGTTTTTAAACAAATCATAGGAACAAAATTAAGACAAATAGATTTGACTACCTTAAAATTGTGAACTTCTTCAATGATACATCAGGAAAAGTGATAGTCAAAATCATAACCAGGGAAAAGATATGAAACACAAAATGACAAAGGATTAGTATCCAGAATATTTTTAAAACTCCTATGAATCAAAAAAGAAAACCCAATTGAGAACTGATAAGATAAAAATAAGCAATTTACTTAAGTGTAAATAAATGTAACTGACCAACAAACATATAAATACATGAAAAGATGCTAAAAGTCATTAAGTAGATTCAAATTCAAACCATAACTTGATACCATTTCACACCCACCAGATCTATAAAAATTAAAATGTCTGACACAGTTAGGGATAAGACAGTAAGATTTTTATTTACTACTGGTAGAACTCTAAATTGGAACAGGTACTTATAAAACTATTTAGCATTACCTGGTATTGTTGAATATGTTCATATCCTGTGACTTAGCAATTCTACCCAGGCTAAAATATTGCAAATAATTAATAGCAACATAGTTAATTTGGATGTATTAAGTTCCTTTAGAACAGTAGTTCTCGAACTTTTGCATGCATCATCATCCCCTGGAAGGATTTATTGAAACACAGATTCCTGGGCCCATCCCAGTTTCTGATCGGACAGCTCTGGGATGGTCCCCTAGGACTGGCATTTCTAACAAGATCCTTGGTGATGCTAATGCTACTGAAAGTTGAAAGAAAAGCCACACTTTAAGATCTACAGCTCTAGAGTAATGTGCTGTCCCAAACATAAAAGTGTAGTTAAAAAAAAAAATCTTCTTTTGCTTAAGAGATCTGCTGTGAAATTTCAAGGAGAAATATTGTTGCTGAGAAACAAACACAAAACAGAAAAAAACAGTAAAATAAGTTTACCCCAAAAAGGAGTGTGCCTCAAAGTAATTGACAGCCTCTTTGATTTTAAGTCACAATACATGCTACAGGTGAAGTTATTTGCTTTATAGTCCTAGAATCTGAATATAGACACTAATATTTTATCAACTGCAACAAATTAATCGATCATTTTCTAATCGGGAGACTTTTCTGCCATCATTTCTAGTTTCTCAATAATCTGTACACTGCTTTTTATAGAATAGTGAGTAAATTATGCAAGAGATCTAATTATACCTATTTTTCAGTAGGCAAGATGGGTAAACCATGGACTTAAATAGCAAGAAATGAACATCTAATTTTAATTTACTTTCTCTCAACCTCAAGAAAAAGAAGAAAATTCCAGTACAATTTATATTTGAAAATCCAGTGTAGACTAACCAACTCT
The DNA here is from genome assembly GCF_000001405.40 of Homo sapiens. NCBI lineage: Eukaryota > Metazoa > Chordata > Mammalia > Primates > Hominidae > Homo > Homo sapiens. Next base: position 163,722,895 of record NC_000005.10, on the reverse strand, counting down.
AAACAATTCATTTCAAACACAATTGTTTTGCAATTCCCAAAGATATTTCCCCTGGGACTATCCATGACAGCTTTAAAATCATAAAATTATATAAAAATTGTTCCAGGCATATAATGTTTGACCAGATTTTTCATTTTATGTTATGGCATCATCAAGCAATTTCATTAAAACCTAATAACTATCTATGACTAATAAAAGAAAATACATGTATATTCAAAGAGGTTTGAGTTTTTTAGCAAGAATAATTTTATCAAAAATAGGAAACTTAATACATAAGAGCTTTTCACGTGTCTCAATGCAAACAAATTTACATGAAATGCTAGTAACTAGTCAATTTAAAATTATTGTAATATTATCAGCTATATCTAATTTCCACTAAAAAGATAAAATTATATGAGGTTCTATGAACAAATAGTAATTGCAATAATAGTTAATAGTGTTATAACTGAGAAAATGATTTCATGCTATTAAATCAATGAGGAAAGAGATAAGCCTGAATAAATATGTAAGAGTTGGTAAATACTGAATAAGAAGGAGGCAAAATCTTACAAAGAAATTCAAGGAATTGTTTAGCCAAGGACATTTCTCCATAGACTTAACAATGATACCAGTGAATAAAATCCCATCATCAAAAGCCAAGATACGCCCCATGCTGCATAAACTAGAATGGGCTGATTCACTCCTCTAAAGTTGAAGTTTTTGTATTATAAAACGGGAACAGTTGAGTAGGCTTTCTCATCCAAAATTTTATGTACTCCACAAAGATGTCTAGGAGGAAAGAGAAAGCCAAACTCCATCCCTGGTCTACTTAGACAGCCTTGTCTCCTGCATCCAAGCAGAGGGGCTACCCTTTGCTATTTCACACAAATACACCATATATACTAGTGACAGCCCTGTTAATAAAACCTATTCTATGCTGCTGTTTTAAAAATTTAAAAAAGAGTGGATTGATGGTTACCAAAGGCTGGGAAGGAAAGGAGGAGTGGGGAATGAAGAGAAGTTGGTTAATGGATACAAAAATACTATTAGATAGAAGGAATAAGTTCTAATATTTGATATTAGAGAGATTATAATTAATAATAACTTATTGTATATTTCAAAATAGCTAGAAGAAAAGAATGAATGTTCCTAGCACAAATAAAAGATACAGGTTTCAGGTGATGATTATCTCAATTACCCTGATACAATCATTACATATTATAAACATGTATCGAAATATCACATGTACCTCAAAAATATGTGCAACTATTATATATTGATAAATATCAAGTCCAAACATGATCAAACTTCAAAAATAATAAAGGAGGTAAAGTGTGGCAAACATTAGTGTAGTGACTAGCACACAGAAAGCACTTAATAAAGATTAGCTATTATTGAAATGTCAGCTTTCATTAAGATCTAAGGATCAGCTCTATACAAATATCATTATGGACAGAAGAATTTTTAAGATAGTCGGTTAAAGAAATGGTACTCTATCTTGACTTTCTGAATTATTGTGGTATGGGTTGCATGACTGTATACATTGGTGAAAGCTTAATTTGCATCCTTAATCTTGGTGAATGTTACTATAAATTATACCTCAATGATACCGAATTTTTAAATAAAACAAATCTGCTGGAGTTTTCCTGGGATTTTTTGTGCCTTACAAAAAGATAAAAGAACCTAAAATCTGTCCCTTTTGTAACCCTGACAGATCTTCTGTTTCCTACCTTGATCATGTTCACTCACATTAGGATTTAGCTTATGGACTTCGGCAGCCATTTTGTGACCAGGAAGTAAGAAACCTAGAGAGGGAACAGGAGAATTATAGAGAGAATGGAGGAGGGAAAAAGACATAAAGCACCTGGGTTCTATTGCAATAGTGAGCTGTCAAAGCAGCCTTCCTGTACTTTCATTAATCCAACAGACAATGCTGTTAGATTTGGGCATACTATGACTCAATTCTCAAAGCAAAGCATTTTTACAAGTACCAAACTCAGGGAAATTTTCCACTTACAGTATTACGTACGGGAATATCAGATACTACAATGGACACAGACTTCAACTATATAAGGGCGGATGTTTGCTGCTCTGTGTTCCTAGTGTCCCTCCCTCTTCTGGAAACAACACACTGTGGGGAAATTTGTTTCTCTCCCACTGGATTCATGCCCTGGCCCTTAATATTTATGCCTAGTGTTCCATTATTGGAATGCTAAGAATGTGGGAGTTATTTACATCCTACTGTTTAAGATCATCGCCAAGGTCTGATTGCAAAAAATTCAAAAAATTGCAACCGCAGGCATAAATGGGTTAATACTATGTGTAAATTAAACCTTCTAATAAAGCTTTTTTATTATTCAGGAGCTTTGTCCAATCAATTGATCATTTGTTTGTTTTTACTGAAAATAAGTAAATAGTTCATTGTAGCCCCTCAGTGATACATAAGCATTTTTTACTATTTGAAGAAATAAAAGGAACTTTCCTGCATCATTTCCCCAAAACGATGGCAGAAGTTGGCTCCCTATCACATCTAATGAGAGTTGTCTCCCCCTGAACTTTCCAACACTTTACCAGCTATGAACTTGTCTGTGTGCAGAGTCCTGTGTTTGAGTGCTGACGTTGCTATGACACCTAATGATTAAAATTTAAGATGTTTGAGATTTTTATACCCGTGTCTAAGTGTACAGACAGAAATTGCTATAAACAATTTATGATTATAAGCTAAAATGAAATACTATAGGCTGGTGCTAGTTGAAACTGCCTATTCACCTTTTCACTTACCTCAAATTCTCCCCATCATCAGAATCTATCTTGAGCCTCCTTTGTAATGGAGTTGTCTCAAACTACAACAATGCATAATGATTTTCCCTGTTCTTCAACCATACAGTATAGATATGAGTAATAGATATTTGCATTTGGGCAATTTTATGTATAACTTTTTAACATTTATGTTAGGTTCAGCGGTACATGTGCAGGTTTGTTATATGGGTAAATTGTATGTCATGGTGGTTTGGTGTACAGATTATTTCATCACCCAGGTAATAATTATAGTACCCAGTAGGTAGGTTTTTGATCCTCACTCTCCTCCCACCCTCCACCTCCAAGTAGGCTATGGTGTCTGTTGTTCCTTTCTTTGGGTCCATGTGGATTCAAGGTTTAGCTGCCACTTATAAGTGAGAACATGCAGTATTTGGTTTTCTGTTCCTGTGTTTGTTCACTTAGGATAATAGCCTCCAGCTCCATCCATGTTGCTGCAAAAAAATATGATTTTTTTCTTTTTTATGGCTACACAGTATTCCATGGTGTATACGTACCACACTTTCTTTATCCAGTCTACTATTGATGGACATTTAGGTTGATTCTATGGCTTTGCTATTGTAAATAGTGTTGCGATGAACATATATAGGCATGTGTCTTTATGGTAGAATGATTAATATTCTTTTGGGTATATACCCAATAGTGGGATTGGTGGGACAAGTGGTAATTCTGTTTTGAGTTCCTTGAAAAATCATTAAACTGCTCGCCACAATAACTGAACTAAATTACATTCCCAGAAGCACTGTATAAGCATTACTTTCTCTCTACAACATCAACAGCATCTGTTATTTTTTGACTTTATAGTAATAGCCATTCCGACTGGTATGAGATGTTATAGTATCACATTGTGGTTTCCATTTGCATTTTTCTAATAATTAGTGATGTTGATCATTCTTCCATATGCTTGTTGGGTACATGTATGTCTTCCTTCTAAACTTGTCTGTTCATGTCCTTTGACCACTTTTTAAGGGAGTTGTTGGTTTTTTGTTTGTTAATTTAAGTTCCTTATAAATTCCAGATATTGCATAGAGCGCAAATATTTTCTCCTATTCTGTAGCTTGTCTATTTACTCTGTTGATAGTGTCCTTTGCTCTGAAGAAGCTCTTTCATTTAATTAGGTCCCACTTGTCAAGTTTTCTTTTTCTTGCAATGGTATTTGGCAGCTTCGTCATTAAATCTTTGCCAGGTCCTATGACCAGAATGTTATTTCCTAAGTTATCTTGAAGGGTTTTTATAATTTTAGGTTTTGAATTCAAGTCTTTAATCCATCTTGAGTTTATTTTTGCATATGGTATAAGGAAGGGTGTGTGTCAGTGGGGGCTACTCTACTGGAGCTCTTTGATGATCAGGCACAGTCTACCAGCAAAAGAGCTATGATGTGGCCCAACTGGGCATTTGGGGCTGCACCACAAACAAGCTCAGCCAGGCTGGGGCCCCGAGAGAGGCCAGAAGACAGGAGTGCACTCAGTTTGGAATAGGCTGATCTCACAAGCAAGATCACCCTGCTCTGTTCCAGTCTAACAGCTCCCTTAAGGCTAATGTCTCCTAGGGAAGCATGATGAGCCTGAGGAATGGGCGTTCCTGGCCATGCTCCATTGCAGAAATTCCTGTACCAAACCCTCAGGGCTCCACAGACGCTGGAGTCATGCCCTTACTACCTCTAAGAAGCTCTCCCTTCCAGCTCAAGTGTCCATGGGAGTGGTGGGGTCTCCTGCTGCCAGGATTCCAGAGATCCGTCGTGAGAGCATGTTACTGCTTGCCTGTTCAACTTACTCTTTCCCCAAGAGTCACTGGGCCAGGAATGAGTCCCTGTGCATGGCACAGTAGCCCTGTCCAGGGTTCCCAGCTTCCTCCCCCTTCAGCCAAGCATCTGTGTCCTCCCTTTATCCATTCTCAATGCCTTCCCTCCGATAATCTTCTTGGAGTATGCCAGTCTTCCTGATGCCCTGCTCCCTTAGTGGCAGATGCTTCTCCTGGCTACATCTAGTTAGCCATCTTTATTCAGTCTTAAAAAGGACAATTTTATATTTAATTTTATTCTCAAATAAGATTCCACACCACCAAACACTGCATAAAATGCTAGGCATATAGTAGGTATTTGTAAACACTTGTCTTTGAATCTAACACTTTTTATCATCTATCTTGGAAGTGGGTAACATGGTAAACACAGAATGTTAAACTTATGTTGAGTGCTTAAATAAAAACATTGGATACTAAATTAATAAAATTAAAATCTTTTTTGTTGTTTGTTTTTTTTGTTTGGGTTTTTTTTTGGTGTTTGTTTTTTGTTTGTTTTTTGTTTGTTTGCTTTTTTTTTTTTTTCATTTTGAGATGGAGTCTCACTCTGTTGGCCAGGCTGGAATATAGTGGCGTGATATCGGCTCACTGCAACCTCCGCCTCCTGGGTTCAAGCCATTCTCCTACCTCAGCCTTCCAAGTAGCTGGGATTACAGGCACGCGCCACCATGCCAGGCTAATTTTTGTATTTTTTAGTAAAGACAGGGTTTTGCCATGTTGGCCAGGCTGGTCTCAAACTCCTGACCTCAAGTGATCTGCCCTTCTCAGCCTCCCAAAGTGCTGGGACTACAGGCATGAGCTGCCACGCCCAGCCTAAAATTTTTATTTTTAAATTAATACATCACATCTTATAATTAACAGAATTCAAAACTTGTAAAATAGTGATCATCAAAATAAGCCAATGGGTTTCTCCAAGGCCTGTAAGTAACATTAAATATGAATCTTTGTACATTTTAACTATTTAAAGGATTTAAAAAGTATAATTTCTCATATTTGCTTCAAGAACTGCATGAGACAGATATTAGCATACCCTGTGACGTGAGAATATACTGAAGCCACATGAATAATAACTGGGCTGTCCAAAATCTCAGATCTCTACCTGTCTCTCTAGAGACAGAGCTGTGGAAATAGGATTATTCCATCACTCTAAGGAAGGCCATGTCTTCAGTAAAACACAACCGACACAAAACTACTGGCTGCTAATAAGTTGAAATTAATCTGTGGCTTAAACTGTATGATCCCTTAGATAATTTCAATTCTTAAAACCTTCACCATTCTTTATCATAAAATATAATTAAAATGAATGTGTGAATAGAAATAGAAAATCGAAAAGCAATTCTATATACTCAAGATGATAATAACGAAAAATTCAAAAGTAAAGTCAAAAATTTCTACATTGATAGTCCTGTTATTAATTAAGCTGGTAAAAGTTTAATGTTAAAGTACATATATGCCTACAAGCATTACTAATGAAAACTGTGAGATGGGTGATGTGTTCCAATATAAATAACTACTATCCTTCTCATCTGGAATAATTATTGTTCAAAAATAAAACTAACTGAAACAACTATAAAGATAACAAAATGCCTATATTAAGTTTTTACTCTTTCCTTAAATTCTATCATTACTTCATCCTCCTCAATAGATTATCCTATATCTAATCTATTTTCTTTTCACTAGTCCTAAAACAAAGAACTATCACTCTTCTTCTTCTTTTTTTTTTTTTTTTTTTCTGAGACACAGTCTCACTCTTTTGCCCAATCTGGAGTGCAGTGGCACGACCTCAGCTCACTGCAACCTCCGCCTCCCAGGTTCAAGCAATTCTCCTGTCTCAGTCTCCCAAGTAGCTGGGACTACAGTTGCATGCCACCACATCTGGCTAATTTTTGTATTTTTAGTAGAGATGGCGTTTCACCATGTTGGTCGGGCTGGTCTCGAACTCCTGACCTCAGGTGATCCACCTCCCTTGGCCTCCCAAAGTACTGGGATTACAGGCGTGAGCCACCACGCCCGGGCCCACTCTTCTCTAAGAAGAGACTTAAGATTGTATTTACTCTCTGTCTACTGGAACCTTTTCCTCCACCTAAAGTTGTCTCCTAATCTACCTACCCTGAGGTACCATCACTCTGAAGTCTTCTTTGGCTTTCTGTCTCTCTGCTTCCCTCCCTCTCTCCGCCATTCAAGTCTTGAAAGAGTAGCTCATACTTAGCTCCTTTCCTTAGATTGCTCACTCACTCTTATTCCACAGTAATCTGTTCAAACTACCATGCCCATCTCTTTCTTTGAAGATTTCTAATGGCCACTTCACCAAAAAATTCTAGAGCTATTTTTCAGTTCTCATTCTTCTAATTCCATATGTAACCATTCACAGTCTTGTCAATTTATCTTCCAGAACTCCCTTTTCCCATAGGACCATTATTTTCCTAGGTGTCTGACCTAACTCAGGTCCTCTTGCTGCTCCTTCACTAAATGTGAGTTTCCCCACAGCAGTACCTTGATCCTCCTCTCTACTCTTTGTATTTCTCTACCTACCCCCTTGGTATTCTTGGTATGTTAATCCAGCCTCATGAAATTAAATATCATCACTATGTAGAAGGCTACCTGATACATACCTCATCTCCCTTCTCAGCCCAGATCTTCCTTCCAAATTCTAGTCTTTTTCATGGTCTATCACCCTTTCCCTCACACATCGGAGGTGTTCATGGTTTTGGTTAATGGTGCTGCCATCCTTGCAGGTTTGAACTCTGTGAAACAGCTTCCTCTCCTTTGCTTCCCATTTATACTTAGGTTTAGAATCCACTCCTCTACTTTATTCCCAAGACAGCCTAATTCAGATCATCACTATTTCAGGGAGGCAGTGCAGTGCAGACATTAATAATGTAGGAACTGCACTCAGAATGCCCAGGCTCCATATCTTACAGAGGAACAGAGCAGGGAAAAGCAGTGATGAGGAACCCACAGGAACAGAAGGAACAATATTCATGGCCAATTTCTTGAAGCTTAGAACAGACAAGGGGCAAGATGATCAGTAGAGTCAATTCTTACTAAAACAGGGAATTATAAAAGACACAAAGAAAAGTGTTTTAGTGATTACTGTTCTCATCAATGCAAAGGAAAAAAATGGAGACGAGATGGAAGAGGGGACACCTACTCTATTGTTTGAGGCTCAGAATGAAGACCATTTTTATTGTCTTTTTCATTAGCACTCATGGTATTTGCATTGCACCATAATTTATCTCCCCAGAACCTAGCCCATACATAACAAGAATTCAAACATCTGTTGAATGAACATTAACAAACAGCAACTATTTATTAAGCACCTATCAAGTAACTAGACACAGAGAAGCTCAATTCACATACACTAGAAATTATTGAATCCTAGTTAGATTGGGAAAATGAGACTGCAATGATTTTACTATTCTTTCCAGTGCCCCACAATTTGTAAAGGATTGGGTCAGAAGTAAAACTCAATTCTATCCAACCTGAAAGTTCCTGCTCTTTTCCCTGTGTCATTCTTCACCAATAGTAAAAAGGCATTTTGAGAAGTCCTCCCAAGACTTGCCCAGGTTCTAAATGCTTGCATGAAATTTCTTCATAAAAAGTAAATCTATAAAATCTATAAAAGTAAAGTAATTGACTGGGGAGAGAGTTAAATTTAAGCTATTTTTATTCATTTCATTTGTACAAAGGAACAGAAAAGGTGTTGTATAAGTGAGTGAGTAAAAAGAGGGTGGGAAAATGGTGAGAAACTGAGAGCATCTAAGATTCCTAACTCAACATACTTTACCATTTTGCTCAAGGCCAGCCCTGAATTATCATTTCCAAATATCCTAGACATAAAACTTATCTGAAAGAGCCAGCAATCTTCATTAAATATAGATGAACAGGAAAGAGAAGATGTGAGAATGGAATACTCAAGTTGTACTTGCTCAAGGCAAAAACTTGGAGAAAAACAATGTAAGACCAATTTTTTCCTTTGACCTGTGACATAATTCTGCATGCATGCATTTTGGCTCCTAAGAATTTAAGATCAGTATGTTGAAATTTATCATTGTATGTAGCTAAGGTGGATTCTTCAAACTAATCATCTCCTTCAACTACAATACTTCATGCAGAAAATAAAACTAAACTAAAGCATAGTGGTTATCTTTGGACTAAAGCCCCATAATGTATTAACTATGCATTTGAGCAAGTAATTTATTCTCTCTATATCTCAGTTTTCTTCTCTGTAAAATATTGATAATGATAAGACTCTTGTTGTAATCAAATGATTTGTTAAATGCAGTGATAGAAAGTGTCTGGCACATAGTAAGTACTGAAATGTTAATTATCATTATTCCCGCTCTAGAAATTTCCATGAAGGCAGAGATGTTAGTCTTTTTTATATATTGCTATCTGCCTTTGAGCCTATAAAGTGCCTATCATATAGGAGGTATCAACAAATCAGTCAATGAGTGAATTTTAATAAATGAAAGAAAACATTTTTTGCCTGAAATCTCTAACACTATAAGCAAAAATGAAGTTTTGTATTTAGCCAGTCAGCCAAATGCTTCTACTCTCACTCTACCAGGTTACTAAGTACTGCTTTAAAGTCCTCTGGGGTAACAATTCTCTGTTTTCATAATGAGAATGTTGAAGGCAGTTTGGGCCCACCTCCTCATTCACCCTCTTGGTGCTTAATATCTCCCATCTGTTCAAGTTGATCGCATCCGTTACAGTCTCTAGGGAAAGAAAACACCATTTTCATTTGGGGTTCTGACTTTTATGAGGGAATGCTGGAGGTACTAAAATAATATTAATTAATGAAGATGAAGCCATCATCATTACTTGCTGATTGATCCCTCTATCCCTAACTGGCCAGGTGTTTGATGGGCAGTCACTTCACGGCTCAAATCCCCACTGTCAGGAAACTCTTACAATGAATGCAAATGGGACTTTACCTGCCTCGTGGGGTAATACGGCAAGCAATTAACAAATGTTCATAAAGTACTTGGAAAGAGATAATGGCACTATATAAATGTTATAGATTATTGCATCATGAAGCTTAAAATTATAATCAACTCTAAGATGGATTAACTGGAAAGGTAACAAAAACTTTCTCAAAGAGAGCCTCCTTTCAGAGGAGTATCAAAAGGGGCTGAATTTGCTGTGGCTTATAAATCAATATCAGACCCTTTACCCACACCCCTCAAGAAATAGGAATAATAAGTAGCTGCATGGTTGTGACTGAACAGAGGGGAAAATGAATATTGACAAAAATAAATCAAATCACCCCCAATCCAGAATTAAGCCAGAGATACAATCTGAGATACCTGGCTTGGAACTGGATTACAATTTGAAGGTGCCACAAAGACTATTTTTATGCAAGTCACAGACAGAACAACGTAGAAGCCAGTGTGCATATCAGTGCAGAGCATGCACACTAGTGCTGACTGCTCCCAAATGTATACCTCCAATCTCGACCACTCATTCCCAGCATCCTGCTTATCGTCTCCATTTTGGTAATAATGAGCACCTCAAATTGAGTATGTCCAAAATCAAGCTCCTGATCTTTCCCCTAAAAGAGCCCCCAATCCTCTTGTTCTCTGTAAATAGCAACTCTATCCTTCCATTTGCTCCAGCCTAAAACCTTGGACTCATTGTTAACCATTCTGTTTATCTTACATCCCTCATCCAAACTGGCAGTAAAATGTGTTGGTTTATCTTCAAAATGTATCCAAAATCAGACTTCTCACCACCTTTACTGCTACTAGTCTGATCCAACCCACCATCTCCTCTTGCCTGGATTACTGAAATAGTCTCCAATTGGTCTCTCTACTTCTTCCTTTCCTCTCTTTTAGTGTATTTGTAGAAAATCAAATCATGACATTCTAGTGCTCACAATCCTGAAATGATTTTCCACTTCACTCTGACCAAAACCCAAAGAGTCTTTCTAAGGGCTGATAAGAACCTACATGATCTCACCCTTCATCTCTGAGCTCATCTCCTACAACTCTTCCTTCCTCTTCCCACCCTCTAGCCACACTGGCCTCCCTACTGGCCCTAGATGGAATTAGGCAAGCATTTGCCTCAGGGCCTTTGCACTAGGGAAGTTCCTAACTTCCCTAGACATTCACATTGGCTTGCTGCCTAGCCCCCTTCCCATCTATCCTTACAAGTGACCAACTCAGGAAGAACTTCCCAAGCTTGTCTTTTTCCTGTCTAAAATTGCAGGACTCACTTCCACCTTGCTTATCCCTTTATCTCTTCTCTGCAATCTTTCTTCTGAGTACTTATCACCATGAGGCATTACTTGTTTATACATTTACTTTCTCCCCCCCTTATTTGAATATACTCTACAAGAGGGCAATCATTTTTGCCAGTTTCTTTTTGTTGTTGTTCACTGCCATTTCTCCATACCCTAGACCAGTGTCTGACGTATAACAAACACTGAATAAATATGCGTTAATTTTTTTTTGCCATTGTACTGGTCTTTGAAATCCCAAGTGCAAGAATTATTGCATTAATCATCTATGCGAAAGAACCTCACAGCACCATCAAGTAAAGATACCGGAAATGTGGTCGACCCACTCTCAGACGCCTGAATAGAAAACTTCTGGGCATGAAGATATTAAAGAGTAAAATTGGAATTTGTTTTTTTTCCATAGTTATTAGTATTGAATACTAGCCCTCCAGTCATAAAATGCAAGGCTGGCTTTTACTCGTGAATCAGGCTGGAGGGGAAGAAATCAAACCAAGATGCACATTTCATACTCTGGCACCATCCCTTGGATATAAGAGACAGTTTTGTTGAACAGCTAAAACAATGTTTTTAATGTGTAAATTCCAAAAGAAAATTAAAACTGGCAGCTAACTTGATGTTTAGAAAAGAAAAAAACCTCCTGTTCAGCAATCATTAAGATCTAGAGCTGTGGTAATTCCCTCTAATAAAATAATTTATGATTTTCTTGGAGTTGAAAAAAGGATGGTGCACCTGAGCTTCTGATTTATAAAAAATGCATTTCAGGCTCTTTTTTTTTAACTGCATCTTTATTTCAGTTTTACAGTTCCTCCGTCAAAGCAAATAATAATAGTAAGTGCTTTACAAGAAGGTAAAGGCCACAGAAGGAGGAAAGACAGATACAATAAATTGAAAAGAGAAAGGGGTGGACTTCTGGAATCATCTTGGAGAGCTCTCAGGTGTGACACAGTGGCCTTCCCTGACCACCCAACCTGAAGTGTTCCCCCAGCATCCCCCAATCATTCCATTTTAATTGTTGAAAGATAACTCACCTGATTCTTCCTATGCATTATCTGTCCTCAACTCTAGGAGTCCCAAAGACAAGGACCAATCTCTTTGGTTTGCCAGTGTCCTCACAGTGACAGGAATGACACCCAGCAAAGAGCAGCTGCTGAATACAAATTTGCTGAATGAATAAATGCATTAAATATTTTAATTTTTTTCCTCTTGTACTATACCCAAGTAGGAGGTATGATGTCAACTCTTGTCAATTAATGAATTAATCTGAACAGCTAAGAAGATTTGAGAGAAACACATGCTTTTGTAAGGTCTAAGTTCTCCACATAAAAATTAGTGCCATATAAAAGAGAGTCCTGTTAAATGTAAGCTCATCCCTGCTGCCCTCCTTAGCTCCCAATACAATAAATGAAACGTACATTTCTGTTGGCTCCTACTTGCTGGTGACATTTAGTTTTAATTCAAACCAGTCTTCATAAATTCTGGTACTCTGCACAACATCTTAAATGGCTCTATTCTTTATTCAAAATCATCCCTCTCACTCCCAGAATTGTAGTAAATAGACCTTCTAAAGGGGAAATAAAACTATTTCAACAATAGGCCTATTTCAGCAGTTTTTCAAAAGGTATTTTTTTCATTCCCTTGGTGAGAGTTTTCGTTTTATGCTTGGAAAGTTGTGTTATATATACATGTATTTTAGTCCAAATGGATGTGGCGTTTTTGTTGTTGTTATTGTTGATTTCAGCTTTTCTATTTTCCACTTCAGTATGTTTGCAAAAGCAAAACTTCATATTTCTCTTATTCCTCCATTTGTGAGTCTCCATTATTGAACCCATGTTCTCTTTTAAAGAAAGAATACTCAAGATACTCTGATTTGTATTTTCCCCAATGGAAAAAAAAATTGAACTTATAGATCAGAATATTTATAGCACATAATAATCTCAAATAAGCTTTCATTTTTCTACACAACTTTTTAGGAGTGACTTACATGCATAAAAACCTTTTCTAACTTTTTCTTCTTACATACTGTAAAAATCAACCCGGAGTCCTCAGAATCATAATCTAGCCAGAAACAATTCCATGCTATCTCTGCAACGCCAGGAGGGATTACTATAAGTGGGGGTGAAGGGAATACTTCAAGAGCACGGTTCTTTTTCTCCTGTAATCAACAGCTTCAGTACCACCAATCCCTCTCTCCAGCCCAAAGCCCCAAGGTAACTCTAAGCCTTCAGAGTATTAAAACTTAGGGTTTAAGTTGATCCTAAAGAAATAGTCAGAACTGTACACAAAATGTGTATACACAAAGGTTTATCACATTATTCTATTATACTAGCAAAAATATATATAAACATGTACCCATACTGAAGGAAAAAAAAAGACTGGAATGAATGAAATAAAACAATTTAACACCATGATGAATCTGAATGGAGGAATTATCAATTTTCCTTGTTTTCCTCTTTTTACTTTGTATTTCTAACTTTGTGCAATCATCTTGTATCACATTAAAAATCAATTTAAAAATATTTAAGAAAAAAATTTTAACAAAATTTTGAGCTAAGGTGGCCGAGAGCCAAGCCAGACAGTTGGAGGAGAAACTTCAAACCATGGACCAGACCGTCAAGTCCCTGATGGCCTCAGAGGAGGAGTATTCCACCAAAGAAGAGAAATATGAAAAGGAGATGAAACTGCTGGAGGAGAAACTGAAGGAGGCTGAGACCAGAGCAGAGTTTGTCGAAAGGTCTGTGGCAAAGTTGGAGAAAACCACCGATGACCTAGAAGAGACGTTGGCCAGTGCCAAGGAGGAAACGTGGAGATTCATCAGACCTGGGACCAGACCCTACTGGAACTCAGCAACCTGTGAGGCTGGCCCTGCCCGCAGCCAAGCTATAGTTGCGGCCCCAACCGAATCAAACTGACAAAACTGACGTTACCAGCCAAACAACAACAACGACAACTCACCTCATGCCTCTTTTTCCCTTATTTTTACTTATTCTTTACTAAAAATATGGATCAATTCTAATACCTAACACATTAACTGCGTCCAGTTTTGTTTCTTTTCAGTCCTTATCCACAGACATGTCTATCTGATGTAGTTGCAAAGATGTTAAAAGATTTTACATTTTACTCTCTATTTAATTTTATAGATGAGACTCTTATTTTAAACAATTGTATGTTTTAATTCAAAGAAAAAAGTAATTCTATGAGGTTTTGACTGGAGATAGCTTTCCACCAAAGTATAAACCCTAAAAGCAAACACAGCTATAAAAATTAATTACACCAAATTGCTTCAGCAAGGTAAACAGCAAACCCAGGACCAAGTGTTAAAACTTGAGAGAGTCAATTATCAAGCTATCTAGTAAAAGCCTCCAAAAAATCGATAATCCTCCAGCCTGACTTTCATGATGACATTAGAAAGAGCATTTAACTTTTTTATATAAAGAACAATCTCATGGAAAGCTGGTCTATGTTAATCTTTTAAACCTATTACCAACATTTTATGCATCATAATCCTAGCTAAACCGGAATATATACATATATATATATATGTATATATATATATATATTTAGGTTCGCGCAACAACAGCACTTTCTAAAAGGGTCCCTGCCAGGCAATAACACTATTCATTTACTAAATATTGCCTGGGGAGCCAGCCATGCATGACTCATTAACACAGATGGAAGTTTCACATTATATCCCAGGTCCGTGGAACAAATGGAGTGACCCGTTATTGTTTCTTCTCCTTTCATATCTATGTAATGTGGATTGTAAAGAGAATTTGATCTGCTCTGCTTTACTCCACTGCCAGATGCCATTAGATTCATATTTTGAGTTTGTTTCTCCTTTGTACCCAGGTATCATTTATCCTCATGAGTATACAGGTAGAGAAAAATCCACACCTTAAGCCATTATCTTAAAAATAGTTCTTGATCAACCTGTTATTTCTCAATAATTTTTTGGTGAAATTGCAAGTAAGGAAAATTTGATACTCAGAAAAGTTGTTACGTAGCCTATAAACTTGTACCCTGATAGTACCAAACATTGCATGTTCTCACAAAACAGAGGAGAATTATTTTATAACAGAGTAGTCTAGCAATTTTCTTTTTCTAGTATTACTATTTTCTAGTATTACTATTACTCATGCAAATAATGAAGTTAACTTAAGGCTCTGTAAACAATTAAGTAAGAAACACTTGTTTCTAAACCTCTAACAACATGATGAAATGAATTACAGCCTATCTAACCAAGAGATTATATCAAAGCCATTGACTATGATGACATAGGTCTCTATTTATTGTCCAGGACAGATGCTTAGAATATATGACCAATTAAAAAATAAACAACAGGTCAATATGCTATCTAATCCAATTTTGTGCCTCTCTATGTGTGTGTTAGAATGCAGCACCAAAGAACAAAGAATACACACCAAAGCTTATCAGTGGTTAGCTATAGGTGGGAAGACTGCAAGTGATGCATTACCTTCTTTTCACCTGTTCATGTTTTCTGTAACCACAAAGACAAGTCCTGCTAAAAAGCTTGGGGAAAATGTCATAAAGAGAGAGGGAGAATGATTGAAAACTTCAGAGACGGATAAGCCAGCTTGTCCTTCGCTTTGATATTAGACACATAGGTGCTACTTTACATAAATGATAAATTCATTGATTTGGGTAAGAGTCAAGAATCTAACAATCAATTTGCAACTACCAGGATACAGACAGTTAAACCTTAGAAAACCAGAACGTCTTTGCCATTCTTTGTCCTGTGGTGCAGACTAGTTCAATTTCCTTACCTACATGTCCTCCATTAATTGCCTTTTCAATGGATTACTAATAAGTTTTTGATGTTAAGCAAACATCAATGCTCCTATTAAAGTGAGACCAAACACTGTGACTATTTGTTTAATAACACAGTCTGAATGAAGGACGAAGTTCAATTAGCACTGGAGCTGATACAGGCTTCATTAGGAAGGAGAGACAATTAACAAGTGGAAGGCTGCAGGAGGCACTGATGTGCACGTCATGCAGCAAGCAAAAAAGGACAAGCAGCACAGAGTTTCTTTGAAAAAACTGTAACCTGAAGACTTCAGACAGAAAGAAGGATCATTAGCACAAAATTAAGCCCCCTAATAGGGTGATCCTTATCCAGCTAGCTCCAGAAGAAATATGAGGCCAAATCACGTAATCTAACTAAACTGCAGGGTATCAGGACAATTGGAAGGAACAGGAATTATCTATCAGGTAGAACTTCACTTAGCAAAAGATTTGGTTCACAGACACTGTTCCATGGATGCTACTGAGCACTATTTTTGGAGTCAGAGGACCGACCTGTACCATTAACTAGCTGTGTGACCTTGAACGAGTCACCCAACCTCTACAGTAATCTGTTTCCTTTTTTGTAGAAAATTAGGGGAATAAACAAATGAGTTCTCCTAGCTCAAAAATTCCATCTTTTTTTATCCTAATTACTCATTCTTATCCTAGTTATCCAGGAAATCATAAATTGCTTTGTCATTAACAGTAATCATATGATTTTCTCAAATGGAATGTGGTAAGGGTGAACAAAAATGCCACAATATTTTAAAGATACATATGGACAAAAGTTTTATTTCATGACTAAAACCCCAGGATTTCTCTGATTTGTTCTAATTTCAATATACATCCTCTTTATTTTAAACCAATATGATAAGACAGATTTTTTTAAAAAAACATCTTTTCTTTACAGTGTTGAGTGTTTACAACATGGTGCCAGATATTTGGAAAGAAATAAGTGTGGCTGAAGTACGAAGAGGGGATTATTTCATCTATTAAATTGTTTAATGACAACTCAGTCACACCCCAAGGTCACTCTTGAAATCACAGCCTTGCAAAGTGGCCCACGAGACTCAGACCAGCTGCCTAGTGTCTCCTTCTCTTCCAGAGCTCCCAGGAGAGACAAAGAGCCAGCCAGCCTTCCACAGTAGAAACAGCAGACAGGAACACAGAAGCATTTTGAAGAGGGGCATGAGAATACTAAAATAAAATAGGCAAGGATATAAGATGGAGGACTGGAATAACGAAGGGTTTGAAAAGAAAAACAAGTAAGCAGTTTCACTTTTAGAAACTTATTCTCCAGAAATATTTATTCAATTGCGTAAATATTTCATTCACTCAACACTCATTCAACAAATAAGATGTGATAGCATTTGAACAGAGACCTAAAAGAGAAATGAAGAAGTCAGTCAAGCAAATATGGGGGAAGAATGGTTCAAAGGATTGTAGGCAGTGGGAACAACAAATGCAAAGATCTTAAGGAGAAATTGTGCTTATGATATTTAAGAAATAGCAGATATTTTAATGTGGCTGGTGTAATGTGAATACACGGGAATGCGGTAGAAGTCAAGGTTGGGAAAAGTAGTAGGATGCTGGCTCAGGGAGGGTCTTAAAGACCATGGCATACACTTTGACTGTTAGTGACTTAGATGGAGAGTCTTTGAGTAGAGCGATTTTTATCTGATTGAGTTTTAAAAAGATCATTCTTGGCTGCTATTGGCAAGTAGAAAAACAAGTTACAAGGTAATGACAATAGTTCAGATGAGGGGTAATGGATTGGATGACAGTGAGAAGAGGTGATTAGAAATGACCAAAATGACCAATGTCTGCATATATTTAAAAATAGAATCAGTGGAATATGCTGATGGATTTTATGTGGGTATTAGAGAAAAAGAGGGCATCAAGAGCAATATCAAGATTAAGCCTGAACTTGAGAAAAATGGAATTGACATTCACAGACATGATAAAGTCTAGGATATTCATTTTCATATAGTTTCCTATATTCCCATGAATGTAATCTAAATGGCCATGAATTGTGGAATGACTACAGAAATGATGCTACATCCATACTATGGAACCAATAAATTAAGGCAGAACCACACATCCTTTCATGGAAAGACATGCATGACATATAAATGAATCAGTCATGAGTTACAGAATATGTTCACTGTGATGTTATTAATATATATTTTATATCTATATCTACATAATTAGAAATAATATTCAACAAACTTTTTTAAACTTAAGACAGGATCTCTCTATGTTGCCCAGGCTGGTTTCAAACTCCTGAGCTCAAGTGATCTTCCTGAGCCTCCTGAGTAGCTGGGACTGTAGATGTATACCATCACCCCTGGCTAAACACAAACTTTTAATAATAGTCATCTCTATGAAAATTGGTAAGTGGAGGAGGGGTTTTCATTCTCAACTTGTGTTTTACCATTGTTTGAGGTTTTAAAAATTTAGCAATTTTACTATGGCTTTTTAACATTTAACATGTGCAATTTTTGTAATTAAAAAGTTGTCTTCTTATTAAATAAACATAAACAAGACTGCCTAGCCAGTGGAGGGGTATAGGATTGTGGTTAAGGCCTGAGATTTTGAAGTCAGACTCTAAATTCAAACACCGGCTGTACTGCTTATAGGCTATGTGACCTAGAGAAAATTGCTTTACTTCTTTGTGCCTCAGTTATTCTTGTTTCAAATGGGATAAGAGTAGTGTCCATCCGAGAAAGTGGTTGTGAGGATTAAACAGGATGATCATAAGGTTCTTAAAACAGTGACTGGCACATAGAATACACTAAACAGGAATGTTATGAATAATACTCTACCATGAAATATACCAACATAAAAGTTATAGAGTGATTTATTTTTATAGCATGAAAAAATATGTGTGTGGTTAGGGAATGTGTGCAAAGGTGGTGGGCTGAAATAGGAGAAAAATGGTAATCGAGGAAGCATAATTTGATAGCTTCAAAGATCAATAGAATGAGATAATGTTGAATTTTTAAAAAAAAGGAATCCCCATGACAAAAGATATGCATATTCCAGTTCAAAATATCAGACTGATTACTTTTTAAAGAGACTTGATCTTTTTTGAAATGTTGCTGCTATGATTGGGGCTAATCTTTTAGTACTCTTTACCATATATGCTAGAACAGACGGTGGCCCAGAATATGAGTCCTCCATTTTCTCAATATGAAGATTCCCGAAATGTTTTTTAGCCAACTTCAGTATATTAACTTCAACTTAGAGACAAAAAGTTAAATATTTTCCTCTAAGGTTTATTTTTTGTACATTTCTATATGCAAGTGTATTTAAAATCACATATTGTATGAAGTACATTAATTTAGACATAGTTTAGATATATTACTCCTTACTATCCTCACAATACTTGGAATAACTTTCTTGGAATTCTTCACATGCGTCTTCATCATCATGTCATTATCATCTCTGGATGCATATTTTGAGATGTCTAACAGTCTTCTAGCACTCATTATATTCTCTTCCATCTAAGTTGTTTGAAATTGTGCATGATGCGACTGGTAGCAATATCACCTCCTGCCTCAAGTACTCATCAGCATTACATTGAGGCATTTTCTCTTCATCCTATAGAAGTAGATACCTAATCTCCACAACCCAAACACACAGAATTTTCCTTTTTAAAGACTCTTTAAAGATTTTGTTCACAGTGACATGCAATACTTGAAGTCATAATGTGAAATCTCCAGGAACATTTACTAATTATTTCTTAATTTGGGAGGCTTCTTTTCTAAACCTATCATGGCAGATGATCGCTTTAGGTATGGAAAACTCGCATTCACTGAGGTCATTAGGGTTTCTGTGGTTTTATGTGCTATTGTACAGCACATCTCTTATGAGAGATTCCATAATAACTTTGTAGTAAAAGCCACCCCATCTTCTGGAGGATGATATTTTGGGGGAAAGACAGCTCTTCTTATGTTGAGGCACCAATCAGGCAGTATGCTAAGCCTCTTATCATATAATGTCTTTTATAAACATCAGAATATTTCTGTGAGGTAGTTAATATTATTGTTGCAATTGTCCATATGTGAAAACTGAGGCAGTTAAGTAACTCGCCCAGGATCACAGTGCTAAACAGTGATGAAGTAAGGACTTGAAACTCCAAAATCTTAGGCTCTCAGCCATGACTTTTTATAGTACTACCAGTAAAGCTATTGGCAAAACATCCCGTTTTGATGAAAGGGTGAGAAAAAAAGAAAGAGAAGGATCCAGAAAAAAGCATGTATCTTTTCATCATAAAAGATCAAGAATTCAACGGGAGAGGGAAATATGGTCAAAGCTGGAGGGTTTTTTTAAATCAACATAATTATAAATCTTCATGGACCAAGGAAAGAGCAATCTTTCAGACACAAAGAGACACAGCTATTTCAAGATATTTTTCTATAGATGACATTACAGAACCACGGGGAGTTAAGTTGAGTAAGATTTTTCTAAAAATGCAACTTGTTAGGGCCTGGAAGTTTTACTTAAGAAAACATTAGAACATAGCCTTTCTGGTTTCTTAAAACAAAAAGTAAAGTGTTGGCCAAGGGAAGTGTGATTTTTCCTATGAGTAGAAGTTCTACATAACAACAGTCTCTGACATCATTGGGCAGAAGTCATATTGGACAGAAGTCATATTGGACAGTCAGCTGTGTAAAAAGAAAAGAAGGAGCGAAAGTCAACAGTCAAGTCAAGAAAATATGATTCAGCTCTCTTGTAAGCTTAATCAATTATGTTTAATCAACTATGTTTTGTGGAACATGCTGGATTATTCAATGTATGTATCTTGAGAACAAAATAATGTCTTTTGCAGCAACTTAGATGGAGTTGGAGGCTATTATACTAAGTGAAGTAACTCAAGAATGGAAAACCAAAAACCATGTGTTCTCACCTATAAGTTGGAGTTAACCTATGAGGATACAAAGGCATAGAGTGGTAAAATGGACTTTAGAGACTCAGAAGGGTGAAGGAAAGGGGAGGGTAGAGATTTTTAAAAAAAACTACACATTAGGTACAATGTACACTACTGGAGTTATAGGTGCACTAGAATCTCAGAATTCACCACTATATAATTCTTCCATGTAACAAAAAAAACAACTGCACCCCAAAACTATTGAAATAAAATTTTTTAATGTACCCTGAGTGTTCCTTACGTGACTAGAACCTTGTTACACATTTCAGGTTTATAAAAAATAGTCTCTGTCCTCAATCTATTTAAAATTTAAGAATAGTTATCTTTGGACTCTGGAATTATGTTGATTTTTATTTTTCCTTTTGGACTACATTTTCCAGCTATGTTAACACAAATTCATATGAGGAATAGATGAAATTGATACACCGGTTTTTTAATGAAAATTAGTTATTTCATTCATATGATTATTTTAAGCGATGTCTATTTTTATGGAACCTTTACAATACAGTTGTGTCTGAAAACAATACACTACTTATTCAACATTAAATGGTTCTTATTTAGCTAATTTATTGGTATCAAAAGGCAATACGTAATTGAGTGCCAAATGAATGTCAAACAGAGTCACGAATGCAGTGGAGAGATCACTTCTGCCTAGACTTGTCAGGCATACATTGACAGAAGCTTCAAGTTTCCATGAATGAACGGGAAGCAGGAGAGAGCGCAGACAATCAGTGTCAAAGGCCCACAAAAAAGTAAGTTCAAATCATAGAACTTGGAATAGGTGCAACCAAGGGGTGGTGAGTAAACAGTAAAGAGGATTGAGAGCGTTCCTTGGCCCAAATCCAAGGTCGCCAAAGCCTTTCCCTTTTAAGTTTTCTCCATTCTGATGTTTGAACATCCACTTCTTAGACAAAAAGAAAGGCCATCCTCCCTCCTCCTATGGCACATGATCTGGCTACTTTCACTCCATTCCTTTTCACCTGCAAGTCTTCTAAGAATTGGAAAGCCCATCTACCCTTCCTAAGTATGGGAGTAACAGGTAACCACATCTAGCCAAAAAGCAATGAAGATGTTTCTCTGTTCCAGGTGCTATAGTGAAAAGAGCATGAGACGAGATGCTCTCATGGGGTGGATGGGAAATCAGACCTAAGTTTCAGTCCTGTTTTGCTTACATTACTTATATGTCAGAGTCACAGTCTTTCCATCTGTAAAATGGAGTGGTTATAATATGGTTGGTAAAAAATTAATTTAGAAAAAAAGTAAAGCCTATAGGGTGTTTAACATCACTGGCAAATAGTTGGAACCCAAATAAGAAAAAAAAATGGTTATGAAAATGAAGACAAAGAAGAAAAGGAGGAAGGGAATGAATTAAAGTAAAGGCAGAAATTCACTGGAGACTTTCTTTTTTCCTGGCAACCTTTATTTGTTGAGGGTCAAAAACAAATGATTCATAAGGAAACCAAAGGGGAAAAAATGTGTTTGCAAAGCTGATCTACCCTAAATTTCAGTCTGTCTAAATATTTTCAGTGATAGATCTCTGCAGTATTTCACAACTTGAAATTTTGAAAATTTTCATGTAATCACTTACACAGAATCAGGAAATACCCATATTAATTTAATTTCACCATTTAGTGCAAGAACCCTATTCCCTTATACTTAATGATATGGAAGTTCTTGTATGTCCCTTAAATTTTTTATTATGGGTTAAAACTGCCTCAAAAAGTAAACGTTTCATCATACATATACTGTATCAGCCAATATATCCAAACAAAACTGGTGTAGTCATTCATCCATTTACTTTTTTCATTCATTCATTCATTTGTTCATACAACCAATATTTATTGAACAATGTCTGGGTCAGGAACTGTCTTCGCTTCCAAGGCTGTAACAATGAGCAAAAGAGATGCAGGCCTTGCCCCTCCTTGGGCTTGTAGTCTAGTGGAATCACACATCACTCAGTGAGGGTACACAAGGGACCATTCACCCAACACCTGGCACACCAGACTGCATGAGGCACTTTGATGCATCCTCATTTAACCCCACAGCAGCCAAGTGAAGTAGGACTCCTATTATTCCCCCAAATTTACAAGCGAGAACCACAAAACTCAGAGCTTAAATAACTTCTCTAATATAAGCATAAGGTCAGCCCTAGCCAAAACAATTAAGGTAACTGTGATGTAGCTGATCCAAGA
Organism: Homo sapiens; assembly: GCF_000001405.40. Lineage (NCBI taxonomy): Eukaryota > Metazoa > Chordata > Mammalia > Primates > Hominidae > Homo > Homo sapiens. Next base: position 163,700,130 of record NC_000005.10, on the reverse strand, counting down.
TACTGTCTTACTCTCCTCTTACCATACACAGCCCCTGACTGGCCTTTATCTGTTCTCCTTAAATTCTGCTATATGAAGGATTATCCATTCAGCCAAATTGGTGTTCATTAAAATTTTATTCCAATAAAGAACATTCCCTAAAGTTCAGTCATTCTCAAACGAGAGCAGCATTAGAACAGTCTGGATGGTTTTATTACAACACAGCTTGCTGTGCTCCGCACCAACATTTTATCAGTAGGTCTGGGGTGGGCTCACAATATTCATTTCTAACAAGTCCCAGGGATTCTGACACTACTAGATCAGGAACCACATTTTGAAAATCACCGCCCTCAACTATTGAAAATAAGAAATTGGGCTTCTAACCCATCTAATATTAAGAATTCAAAGTCAACCATAACAAAAATCCACAAAACTCTTCTTGTAACCCACTTAAAATATGGGCACAGGGATAGCCAGAGCACATGAGAGAAGTTTGCTTGCTTAAACCATATTGCAGGTGATACAAATGAGATTCAAAAAGTTATGTGGTTATTGCTTATAGAACCAGGCTGGGCACAGTGGCTCATGCCTGTATTCCCAGCACTTTGGAAGGCCAAGGTGGGTGGATCACCAGAAGTCAGGAGTTTGAGACCAGCCTGGCCAAAATGGTGAAACCCCATCTCTACTAAAAATACAAAAAAAAAAAAAAAAAAAAAAAAAAGCCAGATGAGGTGGTGGGCACCTGTATTCCCAGCTACTTGGGAGGCTGAGGCAGGAGAATGGCTTAAACCCTGAAGGTGAGGGTTGCAGTGAGCCAAGATCGCACCACTGCACTCCAGGCTGGACAACAGAGTGAGACTCCATCTCAAAAAAAAACAAACACAAAAAGAACCAGTGACAAGGATGAGGCCTGGAGTCAAATATATATAGACCAAGTATACTGCTAACTCCTATGCCAGAACTTCCCATGTAGAGAGCAGTGAATAAATTACACATGTCAGATATTGCTCCTGTTAGTGCCCCTGATGAGGGGAAGAGAGTGGGAGACTTGGGATGATCTGGACCCCATGAAAAGCCTCTTCCAGACTAAGTCCAATTAAATCTCTTGGGCTTCTCTTCTGCTCTCCTCCAGGCCTATGGTTTGCAATATATGGGTTTGATCTAGAATGGGGCCCCCAGGAATCTGCATTTCCCCTATGTACATTGAATTCTGAGAAGAATTAGATAGTTGTTACCGCCTCAGGGAAATACTAAACATGTTCAAAACAATCCTCACTATTGTTACTCCTTAAAATCTTCTCACTAGGCACTAAATGTCTGGGTCAACATCAAAGCCCGGCAGGGAGTAACTTGCTCCATCGCTCAATTTTCCAAATGGTCAACATGCTCTGCAAATCAGACTGGTATTGGGTTAGTGGATCTTTAATCTCCTAGATGATCTGAACTAGAAAGATGGCCAGGCACAAGCCAATACTGAATTAATTTCCCTCAAAATCTGCCTTCCATAAATCCAGCCATCCCTGATTTTCAATACATGCAACCCAGCTTCATCCAGAGCATCAACCTCCCCTGAAACAGTTCTATTGCTCACTGAATCTCAATCTGTTCAGGCCTTAAGTATACACAAAGGTGAACGGAACGAAGAAAAGGGAAGATTGATCAGTACGTGTTAGAGGTTAAGAAAATTTTTCTACCCACCTCAGGTATTCATTGACCAGATACCTACCACACATGCTTGTGCTGTGCTAGAACCTGAAATCCCAAAGGAGCACAAAATCACGGTATCCACCCTCGTGGAGCTTACAGTCCAGCAAAAGCCTCTACTAATCAGCAAAGGTGGGAGGAATGATCTAATACAGAAAACAACTTTTAAAAAGTTGGAAAAAATGACATCGAAGGAATAAAATCAATGGATTTAGCATCTCCACTTTAGAAAGGAGGTACTGTGTACTTTGCCTAAACAATATACTGAATCAAATGCCCAACTTCTCCTGTCTAGATGGGATTCAGGACCACAAATTGATCAAATCACACCCTGTTTTGCCCACAAATCTCTTCCCTACAAAAAAAAACCATGATATCTAAGTAACCCCCCTCCCCCATTACTCATCCCCTCCTTTCGGTGATGCTGTTTTTCCTGATCCTTTTACAAAGACAGTTACCCCTTGGAAGATTTATTTCTTAAGCCAGGAGTTCACAGACTTAGGTAAGTGTTGAGAATTTCTTAGAGCACTTTTAAAAGTGCAGATTCCTGAGTCTTTCCTTAAAATTCTGAGCCAGTTTTCTACAATAAGATTTAGAAAATTTCATTTTTAACAAGCACTTTGTGTGTTCCACTCTTCTGAAGCCAGACACCAAGCTTCACCTACCGTGTTTCACTGATTATTCAAAATGGGAAAATTAAATCATTTCCCTAAACTTACACAGCAAGAAAATGGCAGAGTCAGGGTCCTACCAGAGCTTGCTGACCCCCAAGCCCAAGGACAGTCCACCGTTCATAAGTGGAATGCCAGAGGCAATTGAACTCAAAACTAATACGGTTTAAGGGGAAATAAAAAAGAAGTTCTGGATTCAGAGAAGGGAAAGGTGAGCAACAAAATCAGAAGCGGCTTAGAAACAGATTTTGCCAGCATCTCGATTTTGCCTAGGGCCAGTTCCACTCACGCTAAGGCCAGCAGAAGCATATCAGCATAAATAAGGTAAAGCAATTTCTATAAATGTGTCAGAAAAAAACTTGGTTTTACATGCAATTAATTGCAAAGACATTTCTTAATGGCAGCCTCCTCTTGCCTTTCCAAATTAATGAGTCAGAAAAGCACGGCTCTCACTAGCATCTTTAAAAGTGGGCAAACCCCCCCTCCTAGGCTCCCATTAAAACAGAACACAAGGACCTTCAGCTAAATACTGAAATCTCCTCCGTTTTAGAAAGTCATCTTGATGCTGTAAAAAAAAAAGTGTACAAATTTCTTCCTCGAATCCCTTTTGGTCCCAGAAGAAAAAGGGAGGTAGAGAACAAGATGAAGATGAAGATGTGTCATTTTGGGTGATGTGTTTTGCAACCTGGGGGTAGTTAACTCATTTGATAGATGGTTCTTTCTGTGAAGAAAAATGTCATTTTTACTAATGAATAAAAAGTTATGCAAGTAAAGAGGATGAGGGTAGGAAAAAAACCTAAACTATCACATGCAAGGAAGTATATTTAACAACATTTTCAAGTTCTTGCCGACTGTTTTTACTCTAGGGGTAAGTGTGTGTGTGCAGCATATGTTGGAGAGGAACTAATATTGAAATAATTTTCTTTTTATGACATCCAATCTATGAATAGACGAGGTCTGGTGTGCTCCAGCTACCCCTAAATTAAACTCCAAATTAAAGGCCAGCGTGGCTACCTGGAGGTTTGCATTCTGCAGAGCCTTGCCTTTTAAATGAACCAACAAGGGCCCACCTGTGTTTGTTACATGTCCCTTGGATAATTAATGCTGGTAATAACACCTAAGTGTTAGCACACAAAGCACCTGGAATGCGATTCGCTGTACACATTCTAATCACATCAGCCACCGAACTCTCCAAATGACCTTCTTCAAAACAATGACTGTCTTTGAAACCACAGAAGCCAACCTAGAAGGAAGCTGTATGCCAGGGTTTTGTTGTAGCTGAGCAGTTTCTAAAGCTAGAGTGTCACCAAGTGGTCAGGAATGGAAATAAGCTGCCGGTTTGTATTCACATCCTCTGGCCAGCCCCAACTCTGCCCCTGGGCAGCCGGAGAATACAGTCCATCTCCTTCGAGCAGGGCACCAAAACTGCTGGGGAGAAAACAGTGTCCCAGACGCCGCTTGCACCTTACAGGTGATTCTGAAATGCACATAAGTCCTAAGTCTTTCTACATTTTAAGAAGGCCTGTACGTTAACAAATATGAGAGACAGAAAGAGAGAGAGAGGTTGCAGTGAAGACCAGCCTATTCTACGTCATTATTTATAATATTGACATCGTCTTTTCTATTTTTAGCAGTCTGTCTGTGTCACTGTGTCCCACAAAAGATGGTGAGAAATATTGTCTCCATATTACAGGTTAGAAAGGAGGGTGGAGTGATAGGGATGACAGGGAGATGCCAGTCAGCTAACGGGATGAGGGCTCTGGCTTTGCACAGTCTCCTGTTTAACTGCTAAACCAATATCTCCTGCTGTCTGTTACCTTTTCATGTCCCCAACCGTTTTGTTTCTGTCTCACACAGTCTCTCCCTAGACCAGTGTCACAACTACATATTCTGATTTTTTTTATAGTTTTCTTGCTTTTTTCTTCCTGTTTTTCCCCCTAATGGCTTAGACTCAAATAACTTGGGTGTCTTCAAAGACCAGGTTCAGAAAGGGTTTCTCCCTCCTGTGGCTTCATATAATTATAGACATACCATTTTCCCACAATGCTGCACCATCGTTAATCACTTCAAATACAGAGAAAGCCAGGCGAGTTTTTCTGTGAACAGAGAGCTCAGGGTCCCATTTCAATTTGTGATTATATCAATAATCTCCACACTGTCTTGTGTGAACTAACCCATTATTTCTAGAGAAATTAGAAGGAAACGGCTAAAATCATATAGGCGTACCCTTGCTGACACAGGGAATATGTGTTTGTATGACATAAAATTCCAGATGACATTTGTCAGCTGCTTTGTCCTGCATTTCTAAGTGGCAAAAAGGGATTTTTGTCTTCCCTGTCATGACATTCATGTAGAGAATTGTGAGAACCTCTGTCATTAAAGGCACAAATTATCTATGGATCTCTCCCACACACAGCAGAGGCCAGTATGAATTTAAACTGCTTACAGATCAGAAGAAAAACAACAATGAATTAATTCTGATGTACTTTTTCAAAATACTGTAGTGTAATTTTCATGCTGCAGCCCCTATCCCGTGAGACCACTGGCAAATCTTGTAGCAATTTCACGGATAATCTTATGGCAGATTGGAAAGATTAGAGGCAGCAAAATTTCTAAAGAATAATTTCATAGAAAAAAAGAGCTTAACATAAATATTGTCATTTGTACTGATTATTTCTCATGAATACATCCTTAACCAAGGGATCATCAAGCATAAAATAAACACGACACTCAATCTCCAAAGAGGAAGACTTTTATTTTTCAAATGGGGATAATAAATAAGGAGAGATAACATATACTCCCATGGTCAAACAGTAGAGCCACAGGACTGCAGGAGGCAATATTGAGATACTATTTGCTTTTAAAGAAAATGTTTTCATTTGCTTAAAAAAAAGTTTGAGTACCTGCTATATACCAGGTATTAGTACAATTCTCCAGGCAGGAAACAAGACCTGTCTGCCCTCATGGAGGTTATATTCCAGCAGGAGAACTGTAGACATTTTACTGCGTAAAAACAATATACTAATATAATATTATGTGAGGTAAGGATAAATGTTATGAAACAAAATAAACCAATTAAAGAAGTACATTCAGATGAGAGGTACAGCTGTGGACAGGGTGGCTAGGGAAGACCTCTCCAAATGGATCATGAATAAAAACTAAAAGCGTAAATCTCCAGTGTCTGGTACATCATCATCCAAAAACTGGGAACTTCTTTTTTTTACTTTTATTTTAAGTTCAGGGGTACATGTGCAGGTTTGTTACACAGACAAACTTGTGTCATGGGGTTTGTGATACAGATTATTTCATCACCCCAGCATTAAGCTTAGTATCCATTTGTTATTTTTCCTGATCCTCTCCCTCCTCTCACTCTACCCTTTGATAGGCCCAGTGTTTGCATTGTTCCCCTCTATGTGTCCATGTGTTCTCATAATTTAGCTCCCACTTATATGCAAGAATATGCAGTCTTTGGTTTTCTGTTCCTGTATTAGTTTGCTAAGGATAACGGCCTCTAGCTCCATCCATGTCCTGGCAAAGGACATTATCTCATTCTTTTTTATGGCTGCATAGCATTCTATGGTGTGTGTGTGTGTGTGTGTGTGTGTGTATACATACACACAAATGAAAACATATATATACACATACATAGATATGTATATATACACACATATGTATATATATAAATAAAATGTGATATATATACACAGATATAGATATACACACAGATACATATACATATATGTCACATTTTGTTTATCCAGTCTGTCATTGATGGGCATTTAGACTGATTCCATGTCTTTGCAATTGTTAATAGTGCTACAATAAACATATGCGTGCATGTTTCTTTATAACAGAATAATTTATATTCCTTTGGGTATATACACAGTAATGGGATTGCTGGGTCAAGTGGTATTTCTGTCTTGAGGTCTTTGAGGAATTGCCACACTGTTTTTCACAATGGTTGAAGTAATTTATCCTCCCACCAACAGTGTAAAAAGCATTTCTTTCCTTCCACAACCTTGTCGGCATCTGTTGTTTTTTGACTTTTTAATAATAACCATTCTGACTGATGGGAGATGGTATCTCATTGTGGTTTTGATTTGCATTTCTCTAATGATCAGTGATGTTGAGCTTTTCTTCATATAACTGTTGGCTACATGTAGTCTTCTTTTGAAAACTGACTGTTCATGTGGCAACACTTTAAGTTATAGAACACTTTGTTTTGTCTTGTTTTCAGCTATTTATTTAGTGCTGTGGGTATATTACTACTTTAATTACTCAATTTATGACAAAATTTCTTTAAATACTCAGGATTATACCTTTCAAAGATCAATTGCCTTTTAGAGCATCTTGGGCTTTGGAGAAAACAGCTCTATTCATTTATTCAGCCAACCATCTATTATGGAACAAATAGTTATAAAGCCTCTTATTTCTGCAAGGTGCTAAGTGCCCTCTGTACTGGGAATATTGAGGTGAACAAGACAATGATATTCTTTAAAGCTTACCACAAGAAAAAAACTTTGAAAGCCCATTGGAATCATTCAACCATTCCAGAAATATTTATTAAGCACCTATTAGGTGTGGAAACACTGTGCTAGACACTGAGGGATATAGTGAACAAAATAAACAAAATCCCTGCTCATTTAATCCCTCACACTCTAGTGTCCCAAGTGAGCATCAATTCAAAAAAAGTAGATGTATAGCAACTAATGTGAGGTTGTCCTTATAACATAGAAAAGCCAAGTGTCATAAAAATATGAAGGAAAGAATAATTAATTCCAACTTGGATAATGAGATTAGAGGTGAATGTTAAAGAATGGGTAGGATTTCAAGGTACTTTCTAGGAAAGACACTTCAAAAGTTTGAGGGCAGTGGAAGTCCATTATTAGATGTCTATTTTAGGATTTAACTCTAGTAGCAGCCAATAGGAAGTGTCAAAGGGAATAAAGAGTGGGACCACCCAACAGCTGTGGATGCCTTTGATTCAATTTGGGGGAGAAGGAGATTAATCAATCATCAGGGGTGTCAGGTGCCTGTTCCTCAACTTCCTAGAATCTAGATGCTTATCTAGTGCCTTCTGCTTTGGCAAGGGAAAAGAATGAGAGTCACTATAAACAGGTCACCCTTGACATTTCACAGTGGTTGAAATTAACTGCCATGGGATAATAGCATCGAGACTTAAGCTTATAACAAATGTTACTTTCAAATCAGTTATGCAAATACAGCTTTAAGAAGGCTAATATATGTAGATTTATGACTACTTCCTTAAAGGTAATGATTTTTTTAAAACTGCACTAAATTCTGGGAGGAATTTATAATCTAAAATAAAAATAGGAGAAAAGCAAACAATGGACCTCTAAAGCTTTTTATAAACAAAGTAATGCAGTTTGTTCTACTAGAAATAATAATATAAACTCACTCACTTCTTTTCTCACATAGCACATTTTACTGAGCTTTCGCATATATCAGAAGGCAAAAGCAGCCAGCAATCTGGAGCACTGGCACATAGTAGATTTCATCTCATTTTGCATATATAGGGCTTCATGCTATGGAATTAACAACTTTTAGATTGTTCTAGTGCAACCATTGAGCTATTGCATTTGGATATGATGTATATTTTTTAATTTAAATAAATGCATTTAATATCGATTTTTTTCATCCATATTTAGTATGCCATCCAAACTACAAAATACACTGATGATTTTTTTTTAAAGCCCTTCTGGAGCTGAAAAAGTCTTCTATGATGTTATGTGATGTTTCATTTATACTTAGTACAAATTTACCCCTCTAGAATTTCACAGCTTTCTCTAGTCCAATCAATAATTATTGATAGTTTATAATATAAAAAGTTATCCTGCAGATACTAAGCAAGCACTTTACATGGTATGCTTTTTGAGATTCAATAAAGATACAGAATTAATTTATTAGATATGTGGTTACTGAATTAGCAAAGCATTGGTATACAACCAAAATAACAAATTTTATAAGAAGACATATGTACTTCTTGTTAATAAACACATTAAGCATAATCAAAGGTGAATGTGTTCAAGAGAGCCTTTCTCTGGTAGTAAAACCCTGGGTGGCAACTCCCTGGAAAGGCTTTAAGGACCTACTGCAGTGGAAAGAAGTTTTCAAAACAACTCCTCAATGACATGGGGAAAGCAACTTAAGAAGTTATTAGCAATTTTGGCTGGGTGCGGTGGCTCACTCCTGTAATCCCAGCACTTTGGGAGGCCGAGGCGGGCAGATCACCTGAGGTCAGGAGTTCGAGACCAGCCTGGCCAACATGGTGAACCCCATCTCTACTTAAAATACAAAAAATTAGCCGGGCATGGTGGTACGCACCTGCAATCCCAGCTACTCGGGGGGCTGAGGCAGGAGAATCGCTTGAACCTGGGAGGCAGAGGTTGCAGTGAGCCGAGATTGTGCCATTGCACTCCAGACTTGGGGACAAGAGCGAGACTTCGTCTCAAAAAAAAAAAAAAAAGAATTTATTAGGAATTTTTAAAAATGTTCATAATTGATGTTTATGAAATTTCACATAATCTCATTCAGATTACAGATGAGAAAACTAGCAGACAGATATATGAACACATCCACCATATCTTGTGGGTCATTGGTAAGTTTTGTTTGCTTGAGGTGGTGAATCAACAGCTGAGAGAAGAAAGACAAATGATTTAACAGTTCTGTCGGGACCATCTCTATTTTTTTTTCACCAGAGATTTAAAAAAATCAGGTTTTCAATTTAGTAAAGTATGAGAAATAATGCACACACTCTTATGTATAACTACAGCTTCGTTCTGAGTTTTATGTGAGCTCGAGTGAAAACGTATATTAAAAGGCAGAAAAGTAGCATCACATAGTACAGAGAAGCAACAACCACTTACTTTAAAATGAATCCCACAAAAAATTTATAATTTTCTGATAGATCTTCTCCTGTTATCTTCAAAGACTATCAGTGAAAGTTTATTTTCATCATTTTTAAGCAGAAAATCCTTAATCATCATCAAAAGAATTTAAATTTGAGGTACCCATCTGTTGCATCTTTTAGAGGCTCCACACACGCCTTGTAGAGAGAAACCTTGGTTTTGAACTTCAGTGATTAAACATTAGTCTCCTTTGTACAATCTGCTTATACTGTTGTTAGACAGCAAGTATTTTAATGCCAACCTTCAGTCAAGAGCCTCTTGTCCTACAAGACAGTCATTATTCAAGAAAAAATATCATCTACATTTAAAAAATGAAAGGAGTAAATCTATGCTCACACAAATGTTTTATGTTGTATTTTTTTATCTCCAATTCAGAGGCTTTGTAATCACCATAATTGTGAACTTTTTTCCTCTCTGAAATAATAAAGAGACCACTTAATTATCATCTTATGGTCATTTTGCTTGCTACATGCAGATTGCAAAATCCAATGACAACTCTAATGAAAAGCATTTCTTCATGGCCACAACCCTTTTATACCTGAACTATAGCTTTCAGAAGATGATTATATGGTTGCTGCAAGAAGGTCACCACACAAGGCCAAAGTCACAATCCAAATGCCTGAATTCCTCCCAAGCACCTAACTAACACGTTGCAGAATGAATGGCTTCGAAGGATGGAGTGGCTTATAAAAGAGACCATTTTTAAACACCTATTAATATTTCGAAAAGACTATTTTAGATAAACAAAACTGTACAATGAGATTAAAATAATACACTGACTTTATACAATGTTAACCAGCTTTGTAGCTTGAATTAAGAATAATAGTAAAAAGAGATGAAACTAATATTTTACATTAATTTTCACCAAAGTAAACGAAATAATGGTTAGATAGGAGAACCTGGGAAGAATGCGGAATTCTCATCAATTTGCTGTAAACGACAGCATATGTTGTGTTTTATTTTGAATTCTCTGATAAATGGATGTTTATCCTGGGATCAATGGCTCTGGGTGAATGGCAGATTGCAGCAGCAATTGCTTTCTTACCAAGAGAATTATCTTAAATCAGATCTCCTTTGTTTGATGAAACCTAAATTACAGGGGGAATATTTAAACATCTAAGGAGAAAATCCATAGATAAGCTAACACATGACTCCAAGATGCATTTAGCAGAACTAATTGTCTCTATTATTCTTTTATTCTAGAAGCTACAGATAGAATGTACAAGTCAAATAGCAAAATACTCTATCATTACACCTTCCCTGAAACGGAAAAGTAGGCCACTCAAAAAGTATATTTACTTCAAGTGATGTGGGAGGGCTAGGGCAAATTAGACAATTATGTCTATGGTGAGTCCGGCTAAATAACTGGATTAAAAATAAAAACTCGTTCCCTGAGCTATGTTATTTTTCTGTGAGACTAAGCGAACCGTGGAAGCTACCTCTACTGTATATGACCTGTGTGACTTACCATACCCTGGGACGAAGAAGGCTCTCGATTCTGTAAGTGACCACATCTTCACAGCCCTCATGAAATCAGTGGAAAAAATAATCACAGCTAAGAGCCCTGTCCGTCAGGGAAGACATTCATATGTTTGAATCCTACATCTGCTCCACTCACTAGATGTATAATTTCAGGCTAAGTATCAAACCTTTCTTTTATTTGTTTAGATAAATTTGAAGTGTCTATTTGTGGTTTATAACAAGGTATTATGGGATACTTATAGATAGTAAAATGGTTACAGTGGTGAAGCATATTAACATATCTGCCATCTCCCACAGTTCCTTTTTGTGTGTATGACAAGAGCAGCTGAAATCTACTTATTTAACAAAAATCCCTAGGACAATACAATTTTATGAGCTTTAGTCCTCATATTGTATATTAGATATCCACATTTGTTCATCCTACATATCTGCTATTTTGTATCCTTTGACATCTATCTCCTTTCTAAAGCCCCTTTTCCTAAGTGGTTACCTAGGGAATGATAAAAATATGTATGTGTGTATATATAACCAAAAAGCTGTCCCGCCTCCATATTCTTTTGTCTTACACTTCTCAACTCACTGCCGCACAAGTTTGTTGCTTTCCCACCCCCACTAAAACATCCCTCCTTGAGTTAATTCTCATCACTCAGCCCAAAGGCTGTTTCCACAGACCCCATTGTTCCAGTATGATGCTGCCGCAGCATCTAAGATGTTGGCCATTCCTCACTTCTTGAAACATCTTCTTCCTCTGTACACAGAGAGAAAGGCAGACACATTTACAGAAAAGAAGCCACCATGGTCTGATACACAGTAGCTGCCTGGCTCTTAGAACCCGATTTCCAGCCTTCCTGACTTTTGGGTTCTGGGTCACTGTCATGAGTCCCTACTGTGAATTTCCCTTTGGTGCACCTTAAAACATCAGAAACTCTACGCACATGAAAGGCCGAACCACCTTAAAATCAATTTTACATCTCTCTCGTCAATATCCAGAATTGGGTACCTTTCCCACTTTGATTTCTTAAACTTTGGTCGCAGACAAGCACACAACACATGCATTTACTGGGCAGGGAGAAGCAATGAAAAGAAACGTGAAAGTTCATGGCTCAATATGATTCATTCGTAGCCCCTTCTCCAATTAAGTGGCCTCCCTGGAGGTTTCTCCCAGGTCAGGTGTTGGAAAGGTTTCCTTGAATTTAGAGGAAGCTAACTTAGGACTGCCCCTTGCCTGAGATATTCCTTCGTCCCTTAAGGGACTTATTTAAAATAAATAGTCAAGGTTTTGTCGCTTTGCCACAGCCTTCCCTATCATGAGCTGAGGTCGGACAAATAGCTCATGTCCCCAACATACAGCTAAGGATGAAATGGCTCCTTCGAGGAATCACTAAATCACACAATCCGCTTGGCAAAGGACAAATGGAGTTTGCCGTTTGCCATCAGCTCAAACAGGTATCAACAGGTCTTGGAATCAAGCCTCTTATGTTTCTGCTTTGCTTAAGGCCCTTCTCACTGCCCCTTGAAGAGGTCACTCCATCTTTCCCGCAGCCTGGCAGCGCCAGGTGGGGAGAGTCAGTGCTATATTACTAAGAATGCTCCGTGACTGTCAGTGCCTCGTTTGCTAAGACAAAGACTGACAAATTACACTCCTTACATTAATTTTCAAGTACATTTTGAAAGCGCATGCCTCTGATGAAGTATTTTGAATAGTGCTGTGGATGTCAAGGAGACATTTAAAATATCTCACTCATAATTTTTGAAAATCTTCCTCATTCCAAGTTGTCACAGCTTGACAGCTTAGCTCTGTTTTGAGTATATTCTTTTACAATGTACTACAAACTGATTGAAGAGCTGACAAATCTGACTTAACCCAAACAAGAATCTTTAAATATATCTGATTAAAAAGAATGTTTAATGAAAATGCACATACAGACATTCCATCTAGCATCCTATTTTTTTAGAAGTCAAATTACACAATTAAAATCTCTATTGAAAATACACCTCTATCCCCCCCCACCAGAAAAAAATCACTATCTATTGAGACAAAATGCTAAAGTTATTAGCTATCACTGTTATTGAATATTCAATTATCTTTTTTGTCTAGGAAAAATCTAGAATTTTATCTCCTGCATGTATCTTCTCAAAGAGTTTAATATAATTATTGTCCAACTTATCCATCCTTTTGAATCTAATGATTGATCCTGGCTTCTAAAAACAACTTATAAGAAGGAGAGTAAAGCATTGAAATAAGGTTATTATAATTCTTCTCTAACCCAGGCTGGATAAATAACCTTATGATTATTAAATAGAGAAAAGAAAAAGGAACAAAAGAGATCCATAACTGGACAAAGGGAGATAAAGTAATCATGTAATGCAAGAAGTAACCATGAGTTAAGGTTTTTAATGCAATGGGAATTCTACCCAAACATCCCTACCTTAAGCAAGGCAAGCCCATAAAATTCCACTGATCTTAGCAACACAAAGGAGAGAAGCTTTTCTGAAGAAACAGTCAAAAGTTTACTCCCAAAGTGTTTTGTGTTTTTTGTTTTTGCTAAAAATACATTAGTCCCCTGCATCCTTTCTTGCATTAGGATTATGTGACTAAGAAGAAGTAGAAAAATAATCAGCCATAACATAAGGCAAAAGTTTCTGCCAGAGAGAAGTATGAAGCAGAGAACCTTTCCAGCACTGGGAGGAAATGAAGGAATAAAGGAAAAAAAAGAGCAGGATAGAAACATCGTGGCAATCCACCACCTCTGAGGGAGAAAAAGGCACAGAAACACCCAGATAGTTTCATAGGAATCTGAGGCCATTGTGAGTGGGTACCCCATTTTCCTGAGTGTATCCAAGAGGCTGGGAGCATCTCAGAGAAGCTCAAGTGTTCAGCGTGGCATCATATCCCACATGGCATGAAAGTGATAGAGCAACACCATGCTCTCTGGGCCTGGCAGATATTTCACCCAGGTACTTTGTGAGGATTTCAGAGCTTCCCTCCTCTCTGAGCTTGCCAGGAACAGCTCCAATGACATGGACAAGCCTTCCTCAGCTTGGTTCTCCGGTGGCCCACTCTGCACAGACTGTCACTACTGGAAGCTCTTCCCTTTCTCTTCAGTAGAACCTAAATTAATTCAGGGACAAGTCTAACATTAATGTGGCCCACATTTGGTCCATGGAAAATGTGCATTATCTGCTGGGCTATTGTGGACATGTAGTTGTTTCCTAAATGCAGTTTTCTAGCAACTCTCTTCATCTTTACTCAGGTTTCTTTAATTCTCGCTGACATAAGTGAAGCCCCACAATTCACAGTAGCACCAGCTGTAAGCTCTCCTAGAAGTTTCATGCAGGCCCCAACTCTTAATTAGACCTAAAGCTAGGAGTAGAGAATTCCTTGCCCAAAGTGCTTGGAGGACTAGGGAGAAATTGGACTGCCCTGCTACAATGCAGGTGAGAAAGAAGAATATATCTAGAATACGCAAGATCTCTTAGAGCATCTGTTAGTGTTACCACATCCTGGATTATACCAATGGAAAACTATAACAATTCAATTCAGGCAGGACTCCTAATGGCCCAGAACCTTCGGGAATTAAGATTTAGAACACCCAACCAGGTAAAGAAGTATGACCAGCTAAGATACTTGCTGAGGGCAAAGAGAATATGGAATGAGCCGTGGAAGAAGGTAGTTATAAATACCTGCTACAGCCACATGACCAGTTACAAAGATAAGGACCTGTAATTATCATAATATCATGAATACTTCTTCCTTAATTTGTTATGAATATGTGTATATGCATGTGTATATCTCCCTTCTCTTATCCCCTTATCACATAACATAGACATATTGACTTTATATCATAGAATGTAATTATTGTTAACTTTACACCATAGTATTCAAGTTATGGAATATCAAGAAGAGTAAACATCATTAAAGGACTTTGCATCATCTTATTTGGAAATGGTTAGTGCATTTTTGTTGTACTCAGGATAGTTGTACAATGTTAGGTGGAAGTATGACCTTGTAATTGTCTTTGGGAGCTAAGTATGATTTTAAAAGATGCATATGGGTGCCAAGTAAACAAGGGGAGAGGTTATGCTGGCACTTGTCATGGTACCCACTTATTGGGTCAAACATTCTTCTGGATGTTTCTGTAAAGGTGTTTCTTGAATGAGAATAACATTTAAATCAGTGGAGCCTAAGTAAATTAATTTGCCTTCCATAATGTGGGTGGGCCCCATCCAGTTAGATGAAGGCCTGAATAGAAAAAATATCTGACCTCCCACAAGAGAAAATTCTCCATAAGACTGACTTGGGCCTCATCTGCAACATTGGCTCTTCCTGGTTTTCCAGGAATTGATTTTGGAATTGAACTACAACTCCTTCCTGAGTCTCCAGCTTGCTGGCCTCCCCCACCAGATTTTAGACTCACTCCACTATCCACAGTCACATGAGCCAATTTCTTAAAATAAATATCTGTATACACACATAGATCCTATTGGTCCTGTTTCTCTGGAGAACCCTGGTTCACAGGTTTAGCACCACATTATCTAAAGAAAGTCTTCCATATGTATACATGTGCCATGCTGGTGTGCTGCACCCACTAACTCGTCATCTAGCCTTAGGTATATCTCCCAATGCTATCCCTCCCCGCTCCCCCCACCCCACCACAGTCCCCAGTGTGATATTCCCCTTCATGTGTCCATGTGATCTCATTGTTCAATTCCCACCTATGAGTGAGAATATGCGGTGTTTGGTTTTTTGTTCTTGCGATAGTTTACTGAGAATGATGATTTCCAATTTCATCCATGTCCCTACAAAGGACATGAACTCATCATTTTTTATGGCTGCATAGTATTCCATGGTGTATATGTGCCACATTTTCTTAATCCAGTCTATCATCGTTGGACATTTGGGTTGGTTCCAAGTCTTTGCTATTGTGAATAATGCTGCAATAAACATACGTGTGCATGTGTCTTTATAACAGCATGATTTATAGTCATTTGGGTATATACCCAGTAATGGGATGGCTGGGTCAAATGGTATTTCTAGTTCTAGATCCCTGAGGAATCGCCACACTGACTTCCACAATGGTTGAACTAGTTTACAGTCCCACCAACAGTGTAAAAGTGTTCCTATTTCTCCACATCCTCTCCAGCACCTGTTGTTTCCTGACTTTTTAATGATTGCCATTCTAACTGGTGTGAGATGATATCTCATAGTGGTTTTGATTTGCATTTCTCTGATGGCCAGTGCACAATGTGCACATGTACCCTAAAACTTAAAGTATAATAAAAAGAAAAAAAAAAAAGAAATGCGACAGGCACTAAAGACTGTTGATATTGATGGTAAGTTTTATCTTTTCAGTATTAGTTTAAGGGTCTGCAATCATAAATATATTATGTTTGTCAGATTAATTACAAATGATAGGAAAGCTAAACCTTAAAATATATTGTAAAAACATCATTTTTGGTCATATTGTATGTTACAAAACATTTTTACATGTTACAAGAACATTACTTACAATAATGATATTGAAAATTGGCCTCAGGTTTATGTAATTGGATTGATTAATTACTAGACTGGATTATGGCATATTCTCATTATTGTTCCACGCATGGTCTAATCTTATTTAGTTACGTAATTTAAATAATGTAATAAATACTTGACCCAACCACCCAAAATAAAAAGTAGGACCTTGTCAATAATTTACATCCAACTGTAAACTTTCCTAAGCAACCTATTATTCTGTTTTCCCCAACCTGAGGTAAGAATTATCTTGAATCCTATATTCATTATTCTCTTATTTTTCTGTTTAAATAGTATTATTGTTATGGATAGGTATTTTTGTAAAATAGTTCAAAAATTTTAGTTGTTTAAAAAACTTTAGTAAACAGTTTTTCATGATGTATATAATCTTTTGTTTTTTTCCCTTAATATTATATGACTAAGATTTATTCATATTGTTGTATACTGCTTTTTTTGTATGCTCTTGCTCTTGCCACCCTTGAATTGATCAGCCTTTAAAAATTATGGTTGTTCTAATAGATATACGGTTATTCTCTGATTGTGGTTTTAATTTGCATTTCCTGAATGATTAAATAATGTTGAATATCTAAAAAAAAAAAAAAAGAAAGAAAGTCTTCCCCCAAATGCTCTCCTCTCAGTATTCTGACCCCTTTCCACCACACTGATTTGATTGAAGGGTTCTTCTCTCCCAAATCAGCTGCATTTTAATCTTGGTTAAGGTGCATCAGTTACATATTTTTACCTTTGAAATTTTTTACAGCAACATTCTGTCATAGATACTAATAGGAGCAGAGGACTGGAGAAGTGCTTAGGACAATGAGACCTCAGAGAGTAAGGACCTCACAAGAAGAGACAAGGACAAGGTCTGCAGTGATCTGCGGCAGGTGCTGACATACCCGGGATCCAGACCAGCAATTCACACGCCATCGGAATCAGCCAGGACAAAACATCCTTGAAAGTGAGTGTCAACTCTGAACTGACTGTATTTGTACCTACAAGAGATAATTTTAAACTAGAGTTTAAACATAACTGGAAAGCTTTACTTCTTTTTTCTTCCACTAGAAGAAATAGGTAAAACAAAAATATGGGAGCAATATGAAATTAGTTTTGGAAAACAAAGAAAGTATAGTAGCCCATTTTCATGCTGCTAATAAAGACATACCCGAGACTGGGCAATTTACAAAAGAAAGACGTTTATTGGACTTACAGTTTCACATGGCTGGGGAGGCTGCACAATCATGGTGGAAGACAAGGAGGAGCAAGTCCCATTTTACATGGAAGGCAGCAGGCAAAAAGAGAGCTTGTGCAGAGAAACTCCTGTTTATAACATTATCAGATCTTCCCATTCACTATCATGAGAATAGCACAGGAAAGCCCCACCCCATGATTCAATCTTCTTTCACTGGGTCCCTCCCATAGCACGTGGTAATTATGGGAGCTACAAGATGAGATTTGGGTGGGAACACAGAGCCAAACCACATTAGAAAGATACATGCTTATTCACATCTAAGTCATAATAAGAATTCTAGCTCTTCTGATATTATTTCATGGAGAGAATTTTGAGTGCAGGCTAACTGACAATTCTTGGCTGTAAAAAATTATCCACAATCTAAGTTAATCATGAGTACATTGTGGTTTCATATTGAATGTGGAAAAGCATGGAATACAAAGAGATAATCAGCCCCCCAAGGTGAAGGGGGACCAAAGGAATAAGAGCTACAAATTGATCTGCACTTGGACATTTCCATTAGCCTCTTCTAGAATTATCCAGAAATGTCTAAATCCTTGGAGAGGACAAATCATAAGGAAATTCCAGAACTATAATGTAGTCATAACTATTCTTACTGTAGTAGGTGACTATATATAACATGCATAAATGTATATACTTATAAAATATTCATTGTATTTTCCTGAGGTAAAAGAGATAGGTCATAACATTCATCTCTTTCCAGACATTAATAGTCCCAAATAATGATGGGCACTGAAAGTTGACATTTTCAACACTTTCATCTTTTAAGCAACCAGGACTAACAGCATAGCACAGTAGTTAAAAAACACATATTCTGGAGGTTTCAAATCACAGTTCTTTCATCTGTTAGTAGTAAAACACTGGAAAAATCATGTAACCTCTCTGTGTCTCTTTTCCTAATGTGCAAATTGGGGATAATAGTACCTACCCCAGAGGGGTGGTTATAATGATTAATGAAGAGACTTAATACCTATCAAGCTCTTAGAATAATGCCTGGAACATGGTGAGCTCTACATAAAGATTTGTTAAATAAAACAAATATACTAATACACATTTAAAATCATAATAATAAATTATGTAAGTTGTTATTTGTTTTATTTAGATAAAATATATTTTGGATGAAATGTGTATGTACGCCAACAAATATATAAATTCAAGTTTGGTTAACTACATATTTCATTCATTTTTGTTCTCAACCAATCTTTTATTCTTCTCTTTATTATATTCAAAAAGAAGAGGAAAACCCAGTTGCAATTATTATTTTAAAGTTCCTTAAATCAAGTGAGTCAACCTAAGAACAAATAAAATTGAGGTTTTAGTACATTATTAGGAGTTTAGAGATAGAGATAGCAGTATAATAAAAGAAATATTAGACTGTGAGGGTATTAAATTGATATTTAAAAAGAAAAGAAGGGAACAAAGAAATATCAATATTTTATAGAGAAAATATAAAAATGCAGTAGAGCTTTGAAATTCAAATTGACATCACTTTCATCTAAATAGGATTTTCCCATTTGGCTAAAATTTAGAGTATTTGTAAAGGAAAATTTTTAAAATTCTAGGTTTATAATCAAGCAACATTTAGGCCAATTTTCTATCTATTACAATCAATGAAAATTGATAAATTAGAAAGATTTGCTTGATACACTTTAAGATTTTTAATTAAAAGTTGATCTTATTAGGTTTAATATATTGTTTTCAATGTCAGGAGAGTGAACTTAGACATTATTAAAGATTTTCAGAGTTGAATAAAAAAAGGAAGAGAATGCCTAACCCTCAGCTAATATACAAAAAAATTATTATGTATAATACTCTAGTCTTCCAGTATTCGAGTTTATCCAAGTTCTATCACTAAGTCCTGATTTCCTGTTTGATATATTGTTTACCACACCTACAGTTCTAATTTTTTATGCTGGCAAAATCATTTGAAATGCATATAATTTGGCAATGTGCTTGTTAAGAAAGAAATATTTCTGCAAGTAGTAATACAAAAAAAATAATCACTCAAGGACATACTCACAATAAAAATTCCCAAAGAGTCAGCAGCTTAGATCTTTTTGTGGGGAAAGCGTCTGGTTTTCCATACAAGCAAACCCAGAACTGAGAAATAGGGAAGTAAATTTAATATAATGGCCACCCACCAAATGCATTTAACATATGGTAGACTAGGTTATGCATGAACAGATTACACTGCCAACCTGACTTTAGGGAGCTGGAGTTTATGGTCATTACCACTTGTAAGATTTGATATTTCTCACAGTTATTTACACAAATAGCACCTCACATCATTAAATCCTTATCACTACCGCCACTCTCTGCCTCTGGCTGCACAAAATGCTTAAAGAAAGAAATGGGATTTTGGAGCTTCATCTTCAGGAGACTGGGAGGTTACAGTTTTCTTTCTTGGAAAGAGACTGAGAATCTCTTAGACATTTGTCTTCAGTTTCTCTCATCTGTCTTTTGTCCAAAAAAGGTCATTGTCTGCTCCTCAGGGGAAGCATCATGCCAAGTTGCTGCTTTGAGACATATACACATATAAATTCTCTCTTATAATCGAAGTAGAGGCAACCTGGATCATAAGTGCTCAGAAAATATTTTCCCATCTGTTTCTACCTTCAATCTCAAAAAGGTTTTCTTGTACCTAGACAATAGCCACACCATTGCTCTATCTTGGTATCATGTCCACGGGCTTGGCAAAGGACAGTTTTGATAACAAGGGTAAGTAGTATTTTCTGTTTTTTCTCTTCAGTTTATATGATAAGAGAAAATCAAATATTAAAATGGGACAGAATAGCCTAAGTAAAAAGATTAGACTCTGAAATCAGTATGGGTTTGATTTTATATAAAATGTTTAATCTCATTTCCTCCTCTGTCAAATTGGATAGCAATAGTACTTCTCAGGTTGTGCTTTGAATATTAAATGAGATCCATTTGATCAATCACTCTTATACTTCTTGAGGGCCTACTCTGTGCAGACTTTTCTAGATGCTGAGGATGACACAGTGAGGAAGGCTGACAAAATCTCCACATCATGGAGCTTGCATTATTACTGTGGAGCCAAACAGATAAACAAACATATGTGCACTTCATAGTTCAGCAGTGCAGAGAATCCTGCAAGGAGAGAAAACTGGGTGAAAGGCCAGAGGCAAACAAGTGCAATTGAGGAGTAAGGCGGTCAAGGAAGGCCTCATTTGGGACATTAATTTGAATGGAGACTTATTAAAGTAACAGAGCAAACATGCACATATCTGGAAGAAGAAAATTCTAGACAGAAAATTCAAAGTGTGTGAGCTAGCAATATGCCTGGGGTCTTCAAGATACCATGAGGAGTTGTCGTGGCTAATGTGGGAGGGCAGAGGGAAATGAGATCTGAGAAGTAAGAGGAAAGGAGTGGAGGCAAATCACGAAAAGCCTGGCACAGACTATTCAATGAGGAGTCTATTATTAACACATTTTATCCCTGTATCAAAACAGATTGGGATTCGATGGTTTCCCTTAATACTGTCAACAAGTACTCTTTCGGAGAAACACTTGTTGAAGAGGCCCCATCAATCTCCCACAACGCTGTCAGTGCAGTATCTGGGTTCCCATTGACCCTGAGCATTTGGTAAATGGCAAGTGCTTTTCCTCTACACAAGGTCCTGTTCATCCTAATGAAGATGCATCATTGGCACTTGCTTCCTGTAAGACTGGGAAAGAGCAGTGGAACTAAAAGCCCCCATCCAGATGGAGTAGCTCAACAGAACATCTGCCTTGCCTATATGTCACCTGCCTACCTCCTGCTGCTAGGCTAGCTGCCAGGGATTGCAGCAGCTCCTGACTCAAGGGTCCTCCTCTTCTGGTGCTTGCTTGGAGCTTTGAGTGATTATCTGCACCACCGTTCCCAAAAGCATCATGCCATCTTTCTTAAAAGTGCAGGAAGAACCTGTTGGAGATCTGAGTCCTTTAAAGAACTGCACTATTATTTGATCTTTAAATTGGGATCCATTAGACCATAGCCTTGCTTGCAAACTTCATATCAGCTGGCATTAGGCAGCTAATACATTGCATTGATTACATAGATGACCTATTCTGGTCCATATGACATAGAAAGGAGACAGCAATGAACAACACATTCATTTTTCTCCATCTCCTCTATCACTGCTCTAGAACAAACCACCCTCATCTCTTGCCTGGATTATCAGGATTATCACAATTGCCTCCTAACTCATCTAGTCCAAACCATCTTAGTCACAACCATTACTTGCCTGATTATTACTAATATAAAGTAGCCTCCTAACTTGCCTATTTCTTTTCCAGCTCCTCTTCCCCCAATTGATTTTCCACATTTGGGAGCATGGAGTGATATTTTTGAAACCAAATTCTGAGCATCTGAGTTTTGTCTAAAACCTTTCTTTGGCTTTTCAAAGCTCTTAGAGATTATCCATTAGCGATAGATCAAGATTCCTTTTGGCACACTTAAGGCAACTCATGATCTAGACTTTGCCTACCTCATACCTGGCAACACTCTCTCATTTGCTCTCTATACTAAGAGTCCTATTGGTCTCTTTTTTCTTTTCCCCCAACATACTGCAATCCAGCTTAGGTTTTTGTTTGTTTTGTTTTGTTTTGTTTTTTTGTTTTTTGTTTTAAATACTGTTACCTCCAACTGGAAATTCTTCTCAATCTCATCTCACTTCACTAACTAAACTATCACTCTTCATATCCCAACTCAACAGTTTTTGGGGGTACCTTCCCAGTGCTCCCCAGACTATTCCACCACTTTCTAGTCTACTATATTGCTCTTTCTACTTTAATTTTGAAGTCTCTGTAATTACATGTCACCATGATCATTTTAAAAACCTACCACCCTCCACTAGGCTGTATTCCCTAGGAAGCCAAAGATTGTGTTTGCTTTTCTCCCCACTTGAAACCCAGTGCTTTGTGGTTCCAAAACTAATGATTATTCCACTGCTTTCTGAACATATTTGTCAAAGAATAAATGACCATTTAAATCTAAAAGGCTCTCAACATAAAGACTGCTTCTAAAGTCTATGCCACTCAATTCATTTTATATAGTAGAAATAACAATATCCATATCTTCCAACATGAGTTTGAGCCAAGAACTAAACTAAGAGCTGAGGGATCCATAATACATGTTTTGAGTAACACTTTACAAAACTGAAGACTTTCTTTCTATTTTTTTCTTCTCATTGAAGGTATATCCAAAAACCTCAATTCTGAACTTAAGCAGCAAGGTAAAAATGAAACTGGCCGACCTTCTGCTTATCTGATCTTACGCAATTTGTTTGGTGAAAGTGAACATATACTTGCTTACTTCTGATAGGTCCTACCTGTATTCCTGTGTCCCAATTCCAGAAGCAGTCTTGCCCTGTCACCCAGACTATAGTGAAGTGGTGAGATCATAGTTCACTGCAGCCTCAAACTCCTGGGTTTGAGGAATTCTCCCACCTCAGCCTCCCAAGTAGCTTGGGACTACAGGCACATGCCACCATGCCCAACTAATTTTTCATTTTTTATTTTTTTTTTAGAGATGGAGTCTTGCTTTGTTATCCAAGCTGGTCTTGATCTCTTGGCCTCAAGCAATTCTCCTGCCTAGGCCTCCTGAGTAGCTGGGATTACAGGCAAAAATCACCATGCACAATCCAATTCCATATTTTCAGTGGCATAAAAAGACAAAGCCTTGTCTATTACAACATCATCTCTTCCTTTCAAAAACAAACAATTTCCATGAGACTTTAATAAGACTAGCTTAAACTCCTGAGCTTTTTTTAAAAAAAAGCATTTATGTATACTTGAGGAAAAAGAAGAGTGTCACTAATCTAACTCAATTATAAATTCCTATGAAATGTAACAAGCAGGAGGAGGAGAAAGACAGAAAGATAGAAATATAAAACAACATTGTAAAAGAGGAGAAATTAAGTCTTTGAACTAGGGATTCTGTGCAAAAATTATGTTATTCTAATATAGATACAGGAAAATGTAATAGTATTTATATATATAAACTACCCCTACAACTAACTACTAAATTGACAAGAACTTAAAGCACATAAAAATGATAAATATTTGATATTCAGACATCACAATATTAAAATTCTGTTAAATGGTGGGCAACAACATTATTTCTTTCATACAGGCAGCAAATATTTATGGATCATCTACTATATGTCAGATACTGGGATCCACCATTTAAAAAGGCCTAAGACCTCTGCTTCCACAAAATTTAGATATTAATAGGTAAAGATACCAATAAGAAATAATTGTAATCAATACATTATATAATTTGTTAGAAAATGATAAATGCTATGAAAAAGAAAATGGAAAGAGGCATTATGAGTACAGGGATAGGAGACTGTAATCTAAACAGATGGAGCTAGTGGGCCTCATTAGGAAGGTGACATTTGAGTAAAGTTTGAAAGATGTGAGATAGCTGGCTATGTAAATATTTGGGGGAAGTACTTTTCAGGTAAAGGTCAAGATTTTATCCGTTATATTCCAAAAACTGTAAAGATATGTGTGTGGCTGATGTGAAGTGAGGAAAGAAATTCACAAAAGTACTAAGGAGCCAGTTCATATTTTCTATTTATTTATTTTTTTTAGAGAGAGAGACAGGGTCTCTCTATGTTGACCAAGCTGGTCTCAAACTCCCGGGCTCAAGCGATCCTCCTGCCTCCACCTCCCAAAGTGCTGGGATTACAGGCGTGAGCCACCATGCCTGGCCCCAGATGGTATATTTGCATTTCCCTCTTGGTTAATATTGTTGAATATCTTTTCTTGTGCCAGTTGTATACACTCTGCAGAAATATCTGTCAAGTCTTTGCCACTTTTATAATTAGTTTGTTTTATCTACTGTTGAGTTTTGAGTTCTTTATATATTTTGGATACAAGTCCTTTGTTGGACATCTGGTTTGCAAATATATACTACCAGTCTGTAGTTTATCTTTCCATTCTGTAAATAGTGTCTACCGTGAAGCAAAGTTTTTTAATTTTGATGAAGTCTAATTTATCAACTTCTTTTATGGACCATGTTTTCAGAGTTTCATCTAAGAACTCTTTGTTTAACCCCAGGTCATGAAGGTTTTCTTCTAAAAGTTTTATAATTTTACAATTGGATCTATGATTAATTCTGAATTAATCATAGATGAACCTCAATATCATCCTCATATATATAAAACATAGATTTAATTGTAAAATTGTGAAATTAGATCTATGATTCATTCATAGAGGTTCATTTTTTACAAATGGATATCTGATAGTTCCAGCACTGTTGAAATGACTATACTTTCTCCATTGAGTTACTTATGCATCTTTGTAAAAACCAAATGGCACCCATACAATGGAATATTATTTAGCAATGAAAAGAAATGATCTATCAAGCAATGAAACAATATGAATAAATCTTAAATGCATATTTCTAAGTAAAAGAAACCAATCTGAAAATGTTACATGAGTCTAATTCCAATCATATGGCATTCTGGAAAAGGCAAAACTACAGTGATCAGTGGTTACCAGGGGTTCAGCAAGGAGGGGTTGACTTGTTTTGCACAGCACAGATTTTAGGGTGGTAAAACTATTCTGTATGATACATAATTGTTGATACGGAACACTATGCATCTATCAAAACCCATGAACTTTACAGCACTTTACAGTGTAGTTATATATGCAAGTTTTAAAAGTTTATTTGGTAGGTCACAGGATTCCTGAATGGAATGCAGAATGTAACAAAGGAATCTAACTGTACTACAGACATACAAAACAACTTCTCTGAAGGGGTGTGGGAAAATGTGCTAACCTGAGTACCTTTGGAAATGAGTGCAGGCTGTAAAATTAAAGGTAAACGAAATTGTATGTAAGACCTATGCTCTAGTCAAAAAAGTTATTTTCCACATGAGTATGAGATAACAATTCAGCTACACATACTGAAATTAAACAAGGAAAGAGATGGTGTGTGATCAAAGCCACATTGCTCACTGTTGGAGCGGGAGTTTATATAGATAAGCTAGGGAAGGAGCTAGAGTAATCCATATGGTAACAGAATTAGAGTTGGAGACCTCAGCGTCAACTCATGTTTAGCTTAACATAGGTATATATGCTTATAAGTGGAAACACTTATAGACATACACACACACACACACATACACACACACACAGGTTAGCATATACGCATATATTTTCTTAATCCATCAGCTAAGAGGGCCTACAAGCAGTAGCAATAATGCTCAGGTCTTGGCTTCTAATACCATCTCCAAGATAAAGAATCAGAGATCCTTGGAGAAATGGGTGATTCCAGGATTGCACTAGGAAATATACAATATAGGCCTACAGTATCTTCTATTGCCAGAAAGCAAGAAACTGCTGAAATAAGTAAGGAGAGTATATGAAAGAGAAACAGGAGCTAACTAAAAGAGCCCCCAGTGTCCAAGGTTAGAACAATTTGAGCAAAAAACTAAAATAATATTGGGTCATAACCTAAATTATAAAATAAATATCTATGGGCCTATACTTACAGAAATAAATTAGTTAATAAATAAATAAATGAGGATAAGAGAAAAAGCTTCTATGATGAAGAATTTCAAATATTTTTTGCACAGGCCACCTTTAAAAAATGGGAGTACATTTTTCTCCAAAGAGCCAAGTGGGGGAAGGGGGAAAAATGCATCACTTCACAGTGGAGAAACGTGACAAACACTAGTACAGGCAGGTAATCCAAGTTACCAACAGCGATAAGACATGTTGATGGTATGTGCCCTTGATGTGATAAAAATGACCTTTTACCTCTATGGTCTTCCTTCCAGAAAACCATAATGTAGATCTAATCATAATAAAAACATCACAAAAATCCCAATCGAGGGTCATTCTACAAAATACATAACCAGTACTCTTAAAACTGTCAAGGTCATCACAAACAAAGAAGGTCTGAGATACTGTCACAGCAAAGAGAAGCCTAAGGAGATATGACAACTAAATTTGTAATGTATCCTACTGGAATCCTAGAACAGAAAAAGAACTTTAGGAAAATGCTTTAAAAAATCTGCAAAAAGTATGGACATTAGTTAATAATAATGTATTAATACTGATTAATTTTAATGTAAGTATCATATTAATATGTTAATAATAGAATAAATTGGGTGCAAGGTATAATGAGAATTATCTTATTTTCTTCTCAGTTTTTCTGTAAATCTAAAATTGTTCTTAAAAAAGTTTATTTTTAACATAAAATTATTTAAGTGCAAATAAAATAAAATGGTCATATTTGAGTTCATCTATTTCTGGACTCTATTTCTGTTACATTGATCTATGTGTTTGTCCCTTTGGCAATACCACACTGTCTTGATTACTATAGCTTCATAGTAAGTTTTAAAATTAGTTTGATTTATCTAACTTTATTCTTCATTCTCAAAATTACTTCAGCTATTTTAGTTTCTTTGCCTTTCTGTATTAATTTTAAGACCAGCTTGTGTATATTTATAAAAATTCTTCCTGCTGAGATTTTTTATTGGAATTGTTTCAAATCTGGAGATAAATATGGGGAGAATTTAAATCTTTACTATATTGAGTCTTCCCATCTATGAATACTGTATGTCTCTCCATTTACTTAAGTTGTCTTAGGGCTTTTTTCAGCAACATTTGCTTTCAGCATACAGTTTCTGAACAAATTCTATTAGCTTTTCCCTAAGTATTTCACTTTGGAAGATATTTTCAGTGGTATATATAAATAGATAGATGTAGATATAGATATCACTATATAAATATTTGTTTTCCAATTGCATGTTGCTAGTATTAAGAAATGTGATTGATTTTGATTTTTGTGTATTGATCTAGTATTCTGTGACCTTGCAAAACTCACTTATTAGTTTTAGGAGTTTCTGCTTGGTTTGAGTTGTTGTTGTTTGTAAATGCCTTGGAATTTGGATTTCCTATGTAAATAATTATGTTGTCTGCAAATAGGGATAGTTTGGTTTCTTCTTTTTAATCCATGTCTTTTATTTCTTTTTATTGACTCTGAGACTGGCTAGGCCTTCTAATACAACGTTGAACTGGAGTGGTGAGGTAGGACATCCTTTCCTTGTTCCTGATTTTTAGGGGGAACAAGGCTGTGTGATAATAAATATGATTTGTGATATAGGATTTTTTAAATAGATAATTTTTATTAGCCTAAGGAAATTCTCTTCTATTCTTAGTTTTTTGAGAGTTATTATCATGAATGGATGTTGAATTCAGGAAAAGCAAATACTTTTGTTGCATCATTTGTATGTCCATGTGGGTTTTCTTTAAAGTATTGATTCAGTGGATTATCTTAATTTGTTTTTAAATATTAAACCAGCCTTATCCCCAGGATAAATTTCTCGTAGTCATATTACAGTATTATTCCTATACATTATAGATTCAATTTGATAAAATTTTATGAAGTCTTTTGCATTGATGTTCTATTGTTTTGAAGTTTTCTTTCCTTGTAATGTTTTTGGTGTTTCGTTTGTTTGAGACAGGGTGTCACTCTGTCACCCAGGCTGAAGGGCAGTGGTGCAATCATGGCTCACTGCAGCCTCGACCTCCTTGACTCAAGCAATTCTTCCGCCTCAGCCCCCCACGTAGCTGGGACTACAGGTATATGCCATCACACCCAGCTAATGTTCATATTTTTTGTAGAAACAGGGTTTCACCATGTTGCCCAGGCTGGTCTCGAACTCCTAAGCTCAAGCAATCTGCCCACCTCAGCCTCTCAAAGTGCTAGGATTACAGGCGTCAGCCACCATTCCCGGCCTGTCTGGTTTTTAATATCAGAATAATTCTAGCTTCATAAGATGAATTGGGAAGTATTCCTTCCTCATTTATTTTCTTGATGAAATTGTGCAGAATTTGTGTTTATTCTTGTTTAAATGCTTGCAAGAATTCTCCAGTGAAACCCCCTGGACCTGTAGATTTCT
The DNA here is from genome assembly GCF_000001405.40 of Homo sapiens. Classification (NCBI taxonomy): domain Eukaryota; kingdom Metazoa; phylum Chordata; class Mammalia; order Primates; family Hominidae; genus Homo; species Homo sapiens. The sequence goes on along the minus strand of NC_000005.10, from coordinate 163,671,676 downwards.
TTTACATAAGGTTTTTAACTGTAAATTTATTTTTTAATAACAATAGGGCTATTTAAGTTACCTATTTCATCTTCAGTGAGTTTTAGTAATTTGTATTTTTCAAGGAATTAGTACATTTTATCTGTTATTGGATTTATGTACCAAGAATGGTTTGTTGAATTTCTTTATTATCTTTTTAATGTCTGCAAAGTCTGTAGTGATATCCATTTATTTATTCCTGATATTGGTAATCTGTGTCTTTTTTTCCATTTTTAGTCAGTTCTTATTAAGCAGTATCTGTGTACTTTTGGCATTTTTCAGGTTTTCTACAATAAACATTTGTTATTTCATAATTAGAAAAATGTTATAATAAAATTTTAAATATCATTTTAATTTTAAACTTGCTTGTTTCTGCATTTAAATTAATTTAAATGTATAATAAATTTTATAACATGAGGCTGATATATGGACTAAAAGTGATAATGCACATAAAAATACTGTGTAATTTATACACATGTTAGCATTATAATTACAGATAAGCAAAGGAAGACAGTTGTATAATTGAAATAGAAAAATATAAGAGTTTTCTAGCAATAAATAAATGGCAACATTTATATTGTGACTTGGGGAATTTAGAAGAACCTAAATTTTAAAACATGTTTTCTGACAACATTTAGAGCAAGATTGCCCACAATTAGACATATGACTTTTATTTATTTAGAAATTGTAATCAGTTCTGGAAATCACTAATTACTAATAAACATTCAAAATCAAAGAATCGTGGAAGGTAGGCGATGATTTCATTATTTCTGAAGCATCCAGTATAGTTCTTAGAAGACCAGTCACTTAAACTGAATCCCATAGTACAGTTAATTCATTCATATTATTTAGGTCCCCAAATTGATTACATGTGGGCTTGGAACATGCTGGTTTACTTGTCCTACCTTTCTTTTTTATTATTATTATTATTATACTTTAAGTTCTAGGGTACATGTGCACAAGGTGCAGGTTTGTTACATATGTATACATGTGCCTACATTTCAAATTTAATCAAAACATAACTACTATAAACCTCTTCTGAAAAGAAATGATCAGATTATATACTTTTAAATTTCATATTTTATATTAACATGGAATTTAGAGGCAGATAGGAAGACAGGAAAAGTGGATTATATTTTCTTTTAAAGTGCTTAACGGTGGGCTAGTGCAACATAAATACTGTTACCATCTCTATCCCACAAAAAGATTTGCTGAATTCCCTCCCTATGAAACCCAGGAACACTCTACCTAGCATTGGGAAGATGCCATGTTATGAAGATCTCCTAAATACTGATCTCTCAGAGCCCCATGAATTGAAGACAGGAAAGAAGCTGGGGAAATGACAAGATGAAAAGGACTCCAACTGTAGGAGAAAGAAGAGCATTAGATGAAGCCAACACATTCAGCTATGATTTATGCAACATCCAAGTACTAACTCTCAAGCCAACAGCATACTTTCAGGCTATATGCAACCACCAAATTACCATAAATTAAGCTCAGGCAAAAATAAGGCCATAAAATGGACATTTTACAGTGGCTATTGACTAGGATGTTCAGTTTCCATTAAATATTCTGAAACATTGTTACTTTGTCAACTGAATTAGTAACTGGTGTCTTCTTGGGAGGGAAATATATAAGATTTCAAACTCCATATATATTACTCACCACAATTAAAGTCACTTGCTGTAAGAAGCCACTATCTATATGCATCAGACTAATTATTTTGTGCTTTTTTACTAAGATAATGGGACACTGCTGCCAGTGGGCAAATCCCGATCATACATTATATCACACTTCCTAGCAATTTTGATGAAAACTACAGGTGGAGACAGATTATAATGGGAACATCTAATTGAAATTCATCTCCATTTTGCTTCAGATGGAAGACATGCTGCTTGTGCCCTGAAACATATTCAATTTCATTCAAATTGGATGCAGATTTTTCAGACAAAACTAAATTTGAAAAATGTATATATTTCAAAGGGTCCTGGAAGAGACAGACAGGCATACCATAAATGTTGACCACCTCAGTTTATTAGAGCTGCTGCTTTCCAAGGTAGAGAGGGAGAACTAAACTCCCACTAAAGGTCATTATGTTTGTTGTGATATATTCCACTGGCATTTAGTAACTCCATTTGTTTTCACAAAGACCATGAGAAAAACTGTACAACCCCTTAATAATTTCCCAAGCCCTCCATGGGTTTTGGGAAATTATTAATGACCTCCATGGGAAAAAGTATTGACCTCCATGGTCAGGTTGCTTCATTGGTGTGTAGGACTCTACTATCTCCTTCCATGTCCTGCTTCTGGCACCATTTCCTGGGGCAGAACATGGAGGTTTTTCAGTGAAACATTCAGTAAGAAGCCATCTTTTTCTTGAGCCAACAAAATTTGTGCACACATACTCATACATACATGTATACACATACAAACATATATTTATCCATACTCACATCTGTTCAAACATACATGTGCATGCACATATATGTATGTGTATATGCATGTATCTCTATGTGTGTGATATGTATACCCCCCTCCATGTTTATTTTATTGCTGTATCTCTGGCACCTATCTCGCTAATTGGCACATAACAGTGCTCATCAAATATTGGTTGAAAGAATGAATGGATTAATGAGTGAATCACCTGTTCTTAAGAAGTATATTGTGAATACTGTGAATCAAAAAAATCCCTTATTGGTGATAAGGCTGAAAAAAATACTTAGCAATGTACCAAATAAGTACTCACTAAATTATTAATTTAAGTGGAAAAATTCAGGTTATTTTTGTGAAACAGTAGACAATATGCTTCTTAAGAACAGGTGATTCACTCATTAATTAATTTATTCATTCATTCAACGAATATTTGATGAGCACTGCTATGTGCCAATTAGCGAGATGGGTGCCAGAGATACAGCAACGAACTAAACAGCCTCAGCCTTTGACAAGCTTTCATTCTTGTGGGTAAGAGACAAGCAGATAAATGTGTCAGATGGTGATAAGTGCTATGAGAAAAATAACAGGATGCAGTAAAGAGTGATGAGGAGTATTAAATATATATATAATATATAACCATATATATAACCTGTCTTATAGAATCATATTTTAGATTTACCTTTTGTTTTGTTTTTATTGATACGTATTTGCACATATTTATAGGGTACCTGTAATAATTTGTTACATGCATAGGATATGCAATGATCAAGTCAGGGTGTTTAGGATATCAATTACCACAATTTCTATGTGTTGAGAACATAAGTCCTCTCTTCTAGCTATTTTGAAATATAAAATACATTGTTCTTAACTATAGTCACCCTACTCTGCAATTGAACATTAGATCCTATTTCTTCTATCTAATTGTATGTTTGTATCCATTAACCTATCTCTCTCATCCAACCTCCACACACAAACCCTTCCCAGCCTTTGGTAACTATCATTCCACTTTCTACCTTCATGAGATCAATTCTTTTAGCTCCCACATATGAGTGAGAACGTGCAATGTTTGCCTTTTCTGTGCTGACTTATTTCATTTAACATAATTACCTCTAGTTTTATCTGTGTTGTTGCAAATAACAGGATTTCATTCTCTTTTATGATCAAATAGTATTCCATTGTGTATATACAACACATTTTCTTTATTAGGGTCATGTTTTCACAGAGATCTGAATGAAATGAGAGAGTAAGCCCGGCATATAACTGAGGGAGGAGACTTCTAGGTGGCGTTTGCACGAGCTTGGAGGTAGGAATGTGCTGTAGCTGGAATATAATGAGAGAAGGGGAGACTACAAGGAGTTAAGGACAGAGAGAGGGCAGAGGAAAAGATAATGCTTAGCCTGATAAGCTTTGATAATGGTTTGACTTTCACTCTCAGATGTGAGCCACTGGAGAATTCTGAACAAAGGAGCGACATGATTTGACCTTTTATAGGGTTTTCTCTGGCTACACTGTGGAGAAGAGATGGGAGAAGGGGAGAAGCAAGCAGAGCAGTTAGGAGGTGACTACATTAATCCAAGGGTGAGATGATGGTGACTGGAACCAGAGTACTGCAGCAGAGGTGGGAAGAAGTAGTCAGATTCTGCTGCACATCTATTATGTTGGTGCAAAAGTAGTTGCAGTTTTTGCCATTACTTTCAACCATCTGATCTTCAACAAACCTGACAAAAACAAGCAATGGGGAAAGGACTCTTTATTTAATAAATGGTCCTGGGAGAACTGGCTAGCCATATGCAGAAAATTGAAACTGGATACAAAAATTAACTCAAGATGGATTAAAGACTCAAATGTAAAACCCAAAACGATAAAAACCTTAGGAGAAAATCGAGGCAATACCTTTCAGGACATAGGAACGGGCAAAGATTTTGTGACAAAAATGTCAAAAGCAATTGCAACAGAAGCAAAAATTGACAAATGAGATCTAACCAAACTAAAGAGCTTCTGCATAGCAAAAAAAAAAAAAAAAAAAAAAAAAAGCTATCATGAGAGTGAACAGACCACCTACAGAATAGGAGAAAAATTTTGCAATCTATCTATCTGACAAAGGTTTAATATCCATAATCGACGAAGAACTTAAACAAATTTACAAGAAAAAAACAACGCCATTAAAAAGTGGCAAAGGACATCAAAAAAAGACATTCATGCATCCAACAAACATATGAAAAAAGGCTCAACATCACTGATCATTACAGAAATGCAAATCAAAACCACAAAACCATCTCATGCCAGTCAGATGGCAATTATTAAAAAGTCAAGAAACAGTAGATGCTGGCAAGGTTGTAGAGAAATAGGAATGCTTTTACACTGTTGGTGGGAATGTAAATTAGTTCAACCATTGTGGAAGACAGTGTGGCGATTTCTCAAAGACCTAGAACCAGAAATACCATTTGACCCAGCAATCCCATTACTGGGTATATGCCCAAAGCAATATAAATCACTTCATTATAATGAGACATGCACACGTGTGTTCATCGCAGCACTATTCACAATAGCAAAGACATGGAATCAACCTAAATGCCCGTCAATGATCTACTGGATCAAGAAAATGTGCTACATATACACCATGGAATACTACGAATCCATAAAAAGGAATGAGATTATGTCCTTTGCAGGCACAGGGATGAAGATGGAAGCCATTATCCTCAGCAAACCAACACAGGAACAGAAAACCAAACACCACATGTTCTCACTTATAAATGGGAGCTGAACAATGAGAACACATGAACACAGGGAGGGGAAAAACATATACTGGGGCCTGTCATGGCAGGTGGGGAGAGGGAGAGCATCAGGATAAATAGCTAATTCATTCTGGGCTTAATACCTAGGTAATGGATTGATAGGTGAAGCAAACCACCATAGCACACGTTTACCTACGTAACAAACCTGAACATCCTGCGTAAGTATCCCGGAACTTTAAATTAAATTAATTTAAAAAAAAGAAGTTGTCAGATTCTGGGTATATTTTAAAGGTAGAGGCTATAGGAGTTGCATATAGGTTTATGTTGAGTGTGGAAAAAAAGAATCAAATATGACTTCAAGGTTTCTGCCCAAACAACTGGAAGAACTAAGTTGAATGTAAAGTGCCTAGAAGTTAGTAGTTGCACAAGATCTAGCAACTAGTATGCATATTTCAGCCTGAGCATCCCTAATCCAAAAATACAAAATCCAACATGCTCCAAAGTCTGAAACTTTTTGAGCATGGACATGACACCACAAGTGAAAAATTCCACACCTGACCTCATGTGACAGGTCACAGTCAAAATGTAGGTGCACAATACACAGTTTATTCAGCGACCCCAAGGGAAAAATAAATTTATAGCCTAGAGCCTAGGTGTATAAGGTATATATAAAACATAAATAAATGTTTACACCTGGGTCCCATCCCCAATATGTCTCATTATAAATATGCAAATATTCCAAAAACACTGAAATCCAAAATACTTCTGGTCCCAAGCATTTTGGACAAGAGATATTTGACCTGTATTCTACTAGTGTGGAAAATGATACGAGTATTAATAAAATTTAAATACATTATCTAGGACAATGTAAGAACCATAGTTATTACGAATTCCATGTTTAGTGTGCCAGGCTGAGTGTTAAGTGCTTTTCTTCACCATATATGAACTTTATAATGTCCCCATGGGCTAGCCACCTTTCATTTTGTGGTCGAGTTCACTGAGGCACAGGTGGAAATTTTTTTTTCTTTTTATTGATAAACATTTGAGTGCCTATATCACAGGCAATACTTTACTAGGTGTTAGGTGAACAAGAATGAGAAGGTAATTGTTTTCTTAGAACTTATGTTCCTTTGAGTGAAATGAACAATAAATAAACAAATAAATAAATAAGATAATTCTATAAAGTCATAAGTACTGTAAGGAAATAAACAAGGTGACATAGCGGACAGTCACACGAGTAAGTTGGCAGTGCAGAAACTTTACACAGGGTGATTAAGAACATCCCATCTGAGGAGGGCCGTTTGAACAGAGCAAGACCTGACAGATGAGTTAAAGCCAGCCATGAGAATATCTAAAAGAAGAGCATTCCAGGGAGAAGCAGCAGCAAGCTTAAATGCCCAAACACAGGGGGAAAGGTTTTTGTATTTGAGAAACAGAAAAAAATGTATGCAGCCCATGGTCACACGACTAAGAAATAGAGAAGTGAGAATTTGAATCCAAGTCTCTCTGGCTCTGTATTAGTCCGTTCTCACACTGTTATGAAGAAATACCCAAGACTGGGTAATTTGTAAAGAAAAGAGGTTTAATTGACTCACAGTTCTGCATGCCTGGGGAGGCCTCAGGAAACTTACAATCATGATGGAAGGCACCTCTTCACTGGGCTGCAGGTGAGAGAATGAGTGCAAGCAGAGGAAATGCCAGACACATAAAACCATCAGATCTCATGAGAATTCCCTACCACAGCCTGCCCTCATGCTTCAATTACCTCCCACCGGGTCCCTCCCATGACACGTGGGGATTATGGGAGCTACAGTTCAAGATGAGATTTGGGTGGGGACACAGCCAAACCATATCAGGCTCCAAACACTGAGGTGTTTTTTGTTTTGTTTTTTGCAGTTGCCTTCTGTTTATTACAAGCAGAGCTGGCTTGACGCCTATAACAATCAATTTTTTTTTTTTTTTTTTTGAGATGGAGTCTCGCTCTGTCGCCCAGGCTGGAGTGTAGTGGCGTGATCTTGGCTCACTGCAAGCTCCGCCTCCCGAGTTCACGCCATTCTCCTGCCTCAGCCTCCTAAGTAGCTGGGACTACAGGTGCCTGCCACCACACCCGGCTAATTTTTTTTTTTTTTTTTTTTAGTAGAGATGGGGTTTCACCGTGTTAGCCAGGATGGTCTAGATCTCCTGACCTCGTGATCCACCCGCCTCGGCCTCCCAAAGTGCTGGGATGACAAGCGTGAGCCACCGCGCCTGGCCACAGTCAATCAATTTTTAAAAAGACATTTACTTTTTTTAAAAAGAAAGAATGCTTATATTTGCCTTTTTAAATTTTGTTATAGATATAGGGGGATCACGGGCAGTTTAGTTACATGGATATTGCATTGTGGTGAAGTCTGGGCTTTTAGTGTACCCATCACCCAAATAGTGAACATTGTACCCAGTAGGTAGTTTTTCACTCCTCACCCTCTCCCATCCTCCCACCTTTTGGAGTCTCCAATGTTTATTATTCCACTCAGTATGTCTATGTGTACCTACAGCTTGGCTCCCACTTATAAGTGAGAACATACTGTATTTGACTTTTTGTTTCTGAGTTATTTCACTTAAGATAATGGCCTATAGTTACGTTGATATTGCTGCAAAAGACATTATTTCATTCTTTTTATGCAAAGCCTGAGTTTTTAAGCACCATACAATATTTTTTCTAATTTTCTTTATTTAAATGTAATTTGTTGTAAACTGCATAAAGGCAAAACTAATAATCATCTCTCCTACACCATCTCTGCCCCACTGAAGAAACTAATGTGTATACATTTCCTTATCTTTCCCTAGCTCATACAGACCTACCCAAGCTCCCTACATTCTATTGAATAAATTTAACAAAAATTTCATCTATTCAATTCCGCATTCTTTTGTGTGTCTATCCTACTTTTCTACTGCTATTTTCCAGAGATAGAATGGGAGAGAACCCCTGCCTTATGAAAATCATAAGAGAAGACAAAAACGTAAAACATAAAATAAAATGCTTTCAAGAGTTTGAAAATGCCTTACAGGAAATAAACATGGCAATGCGTTATAGGGTTTGGGGTAGGGGTGGTTATGACACACAGAGTAGATAATCAAGACCTGTGAGGAGATATTTCAGGGTGTTTTGGGGCTGAGATATAAATGGTGAAGAAGATACATCTTTGGAAAGTGATGAGGAAGTAGCATTCTAGGCAAAGAACAGAACAGATGCAAAGGCCCCGATGCAAGAAAGAACTATTTTAGTCCCAGGTGAAAGAAGGTGGCTGGAATTAGGATGGTGGCAGTGAGGCAGAAAGAAGTGGAAGAACTTAGGGAAATATTTTAGATGTTGAATAAAACTGACTTGCTGATGAATCCAATGTGGTAAAGAGAGAAGTAAAAGCACCTGGATGAAATATGATGTCATTTACTAAGATGAAGGTGCCTTGGGAAAGAGCAAATGGGGAATGGGGCAGATGAGACCTGTCAGTCCTAAAGTAGTACTGGAAGTGTCAGAATCCCGAGGAGCTTGGACATTTTGTAAAGGGAAGAAGGTTTGAACAAAAGACTCTCAAGGTGTTTTTGTATAAACACCTTGAGGACGCAGGAGTGCAGGATAAAGGGATGGGTAACAAAGCATGAGCAATTTGAAGCAGAGAGTAAGTTAAGCCAACAGGCACAGACCTCTTAGCCTCCTGCCAGAACTACTTGAGGAACTTTATGCACATATAAACACACACATTTAATCTTCACAACAATCCCATAAAGTAGGTTCCACTTTACGTATAAGGAAACTGAAGCACGAAGAGGTAAAAATGCTTTGTCCAAAAATTAAAGAGCTAGAAAATGGAGGAGTAGAGATTCAAAGCCAGTGGACCAAATGAAGAGCAAGCTGTGGTCACAGCTCTGCTCTAGTACACCATAGAAATTAGAAAGGAGTGAGAAAAGAGCCTCAGAAACAAACATCAGCTTCTACGGAACTCTGCCAATGATCTGTAAATCACTACAATGTAGTTTCTTACTATAAAGGAAGGGGGCCTTATTCAAAATGGAAAGGGAAACCTGAAGGAAAATTATAGTGTAACCACTTCTTGCTTTCCAATTTGTCATGACCTGACCTAAATCACAATTTCCTTAGCTCTTATGTTCTCCACTTATGAACTAGAACAGCGAGTAACAGTAACTCACTCTCCAGACACCATGTGCTTTTTTGCATTCTTTTATTTATTTTTTTCTTGAGACAGGGTCTCACTCTGTCACTCAGGCTGGAGTGAAGTGCAGTGGTGGGATCAAACCTCACTGCAGCCTTGACCTCCCAGATTCAAGCAATCCTCCTACCTCAGCCTCCCAAGCAGGTGGGACTACAGGCACACATCACCACATCCAGATAATTTTTATATTTTTTTGTAGAGATGGGGTTTTGCCATGTTGCCCAGGCTGGTCTCAAACTCCTGGGCTCAGGCATCTGCCCTCCTCAGCCTTCCAAAGTGCTGGGGTTACAGGTGTGAGCCACCACACCCAGCCCCTGTTTGCATTCTTATTTGCTCTTCACAACATGTTGATGAGATAGAACTATAATTCTGCTCCTTTTTGCATAAGTAAAAACTAAGTCACAAAGAAGTTAAATAGCATGCCAAAAGTCACACACACCATCAGTAAGTGGTGGCGTGAGAATTCAGACTGTCAGCCAAGAAGAAGCGAAAAACCAGACTGCAATTTGGTAAGAGAAGGCATTTATTGGGGTCTTAGGAATTGCAATTTGGGAGATCCTGTTTTAGCTAGAAGCTAATTGTGTTCTAAAGAGAGGGAGGGAAACAGGGATTTTTTTTAAAGGAAGCTAAGTGTGCTACAAAAGTTGCTTTGTAAGAATTATCATTGGTGGAGGTGGCTGGATTAGTTTATGAGTCCATAGTTCATCTGCTGTTGCTGTTCAGGAACTGCAGCACTAGCAAAATTCAGCTGAAGTTTCAGGAGGTTATGGTCAGGGCAATTTGGCCCTGTTGAAAGGATCAAGGCAAGTTCCTGGGTCTTTTTTGTCAAGGTTCCAGGCCATGCATGTGGTCCTTCTGAGTCTGGCTTCCCAACTCAATTTTAGAACTCTGAACCAGAGTGACGCCCTTTTGTATTTTGCATTTCACAATACCCCTGGTGATGCTTCTGCAGGGTCCCTGCTCTAAACCACTACTGCAGGCTGCCTCATATGAAACCCAGGATTTGGACCTCCCTACCAAGCACAAGTGGTTGCCTGGTGAATAGCTGATATAGGAGACTCTGTCTTTGACCTGTTAGTGTCTAGCATGAAGAGGGACTCTAAACACCAATAATTTCTTAAATCATCATGCACAGCATACTAAAATCAAAATTAATCCAAACCTTCTGATATAGAGTTACAATTATAATTGGTCATTAAAAGTGTGCTTTAAATACAATGAAAAAAATACATAAAATAAAACCAAAACAAAGCAACACAACTGAATGTAATCTTTTAGGAAGTAAAAGCAATGTGGTTTCTCTAAGGATATATATATGGTTTCGTAAGGAAATATGTTGAGAATAACCAACATGAAGACCATATTGGTTACAAATATAAATAGCTCCCTGGAAAGTATAAATAAGTAAATTCAAAGATATAGAATGATAGATCCATAATTACTCAGTAAGAAAGAATAGAATATCCTACCAATATGTCACTAAATTTAAAGTTGACAGCCAGGCAGACAATTATGATTTTCTGAAATATTCTCCTTGCAGCCCTTGCCAGAAGCAGCATATGAACTGGCTGAACTGTAGGCACAACACAGGAAGGTAATTCTATCAAATGTCACCCTTGCTCTTTAAGAGTTTACAGTCTCTGTGATGAAGCTGTGGAGGCAATTTACACCGAGAAAAGAAGCATGTCTACAGAACAAAACATATTGGCATATTTGTCATCCACAAATTGGCACACAAATGTATAACTACAACATGTTATCTATACTCTGTGTGCTAGATATTCTGTATTTGCCCTTCTAGGTCCACCCTCCAACCTTCTCCATCCTGCTTTCTGTCTCAGGAGTCTGACCTTTATAGACTACGTCAACTGGGCTCCCTGGCCCTTTGGATTTGGCCACTGAAAAGCACCAAGAAGAGATCAAAAGTCAAAAGAGAGACAGATTGGGGCATTTGTTCTCATTTTCCTCCCTGCTGGACCACAGAATGACAGTGGCTGTCCACAGTTCCTGTCCAGGGGTCCTCTCTTAACACCTACAAGTCTCACCAGGTTCTCATAACCACTCCCTCCCCTTGTACCTGTTTCCCACCATTGCTGGCCCGGGGAACCTCACCATCCCTGAAGATTTTCCCTTAAACTTGCCCATACCTTTGTAAACAGGCCATTGTTAAAATCTATTTCATAACACTTTTTGGTTTACCATCTGTTTCCTGTTCCCCAGCTGAGACACAGTTATGTCCAAACTTGCTTTATAATCACTTGTGGAGCTTTTAGAGAAATAGATTTCCAGATCCTACCCAAGACCTAATGAATCAGAATCCCTATGTGTGGAGCTAAGGAATGTGTAACTTTAACAAAGAACTCAGGTGATTCCGATGCAGCCAACCTGGCATGAGCATCTGGGAGCCACTGCTCTGCAGCCTCTACCATGCCAAACTGAAGCATTTGAAAACAAACAGGACGCTCCCAGAATACAACCCCAGCTACCCTTCCCTCTAACACCACAGCAACCCACACTCAGAAAAATAAGTGGACTCTCTATGGGGACATCCAAAGCAAAGGAAAACAAGCATACGGTCTACAACGATAGGAGATGCTCCTGAGCACATTAAGTAAATGCTCAACTACCCCTTTCACATTTGATTAGATCCTCAATTGAAAATCACTTTTCAACCATTTTACAGGAAACAAAATCCATTTTCACCTCCATCTGGTGCCAAAATTAACAAAGTGGAAAATGCTGACCAGCTTAGGCCTGTCCTAATTCAGCTTAGAGGGGGCACTAGAGCGGGCACTAGAGCACCCAGTGCCTTCCAGCCTTGGGGAAAGGAGGCCTGTTTGTTCCTGAAGACCAGGGGCCTCAAGTAGGACCAGAAGATAAACAGAATCAAGAGCCCAACCTCCTCCAGTCTCTGAGGATCCACTCTCCATTCAGAAGCCAAAGGCATTGGGAGATGGGCTAAGCTGACCATCTGTTCTTCTCTCCGATAATATGTAATTAAGTAATTTATTTATTCAGCACTTTGCACCCCCTCCTCTCTCCACCCATTAGTCAGGGATGATTATGCCAGACCCAGCTGTAGTTAACATAGTGCACACTCGGGCAAGTGCTGTGCTACAAAGCACTCTGCTAGCCTCCTGGCTATGGCCACCTCTCAGACCCCACTGTAGGAATGACCGCGTGAGGCTTGCTGCTCTGCTGGCTCTGCTTTCTTCCCCAACGATTAGGCGGCACTCTCTTGCTGTGCATTGAACCATTTACTGTGCATATTTAATTCATTTGTTCAAAGATAAATTTACCCACCTCCTCTGATCACTTTCACCAGGCCAGCTTATTGGCTAGGCAGCACTGATGGATTTTTCCCATCTGGTAAATTTTATCTACAATATAAACAAACACAAGTGTACACAGAGCCTGACACATGACTATAGAGCAATGGGATTGACTCCATAAGCCTCAGGCAAAACTTAGAGTTGAAACTATGATAATATATAGCATATGTGATGTTTTGTATATTACATGCTGTGCTTTGCATATCACATCTGTTATTGTGGCCTGACCAGCAAATATTTTCCTTCCTTCTGATAATGGCTTTTTAATCTTTTTTTAAAAGAGAATTTTTACTCCTTACTCTATGTCCCTGCAGTTTGGATGGAGCTGGCTCTATCCAGGGTTGGCTTTGTGACTTGGTCAGCCCAACGAATGCAAATTCTAGAAATCACTGAAAATATTGAGCTCTTTCCACTGAGGCTCTTAGAAGATAGCATAGTTGCCTGGATCTGCCAGTGATCACCTTGCCATCTTAGTATTAACTAGCTGAATAAAATCAATCAAAAAGAACCAGCACTCAGAGATGGAGAGATCAAGTCTGGAGCAACCAAGCCATGGTTTAAGTACCAGGATCCTACTGAAGCTATAATTGTTCCCAGATTTCTTTGTTATGTGAACCAATAAATTTCCATTAATTCTTAAGTCACTTATTTTTTGACACTTGCAAATATAAAATGTTGATTAATATACCTCCCTTATTTTAAATGTGATAGGTCACTGTAAAAACCTCAATAACTATTCAGGCATGGATTGGGATAAATATACCTGAGTTTGGCACATTTTTTAATATAGAGATAGATGATACAAATGGAATGTAAGCAAATGTAAACCAGACTGCAAAAGAAATTTTAAAAACAATAATTCCAAAACTGTAGATTCTTGAGAATAGGAAAAGTATGTAAAGGTTATTATAGCACAATCTATTATTTCCCCAACACTGATATTACTAAAGAGGAGGCTGTGAAACTTGCTCAAGATGTTGCAGAGGTGTTCTTCGAATAGGGAACATATTATTTTGATGTCCATAAGGATCATTGTGGTAGGCTGAAAAATAAACCTCAAAAGATATTCACATTCTAATCCATGCAACCTGTGAAAGTTAACTCATACGGCAAAAAAAAAAAAAAAAGGACATTGTGAATATCATAACGTTAAAAATCTTGAGATGGAGCGGTTATCCCGAATTATTCAGGTGGGTCCTAAACCCAATCACAAGTGCCCTTATAAGAGGGGATAGAAGGAGATTTGACTCCAAGCAGAAGAGAAGACAATGGGATACAGAGGTAGAGATTAATGTGGCCACGAGGCAAGGAATGCCGGCAGCCACAAAAAGCTGGAAAAGGCAAGAAAGATTTTCCCACAGCCTCCAGAGGAAACACGGCCCAGCTGACATGTTGATTTTGACCCTTCAAAACTCATATCAGACTTCTGGCCTCCAGCATTGTGAGAGGATACATCACTGTTGTTGTTGTTGTTGTTGCTGTTGTTGTTGTTGTTGTTTGAGATGGAGTCTTGCTCTGTCGCCAGGCTGGACTGCAGTGGTGCGATCTTAGCTCACTGCAACCTCTGCCTCCTGGGTTCAAGTGAGTCTGCTGCCTCAGCCCCCCAAGTAGCTGGGACTACAGGCACATGCCACCACACCCAGCTAATTTTTGTATTTTTAGTAGAGACAGGTTTCACCATGTTGGCCAGGCAGGGTTCAGAGGCTCATGCCTATAATCCCAGCTCTTGGGAGGCCAGGGCAGGCAGATCATGAGGTCAAGAGACATTGCTGTTGTTTTAAGCCACCAAGTTTGGGATCATTTGTTACAGCAGCTATAGGGAAACTCATGCAGTCACTCACAACTCCAGTGTTCTGTGAGATTTTGATTCTACACATTCTTTTACATCCTTGACAGATGATAATGATAATAATATTGGTAAACACTTTTTCAGGGCTTACCATATGCTGTACAATATTATAACAGCTTTACGTGTATTACCCCATTTAAATTTTACAGTGACCCCATGACCTAGGTTACTGTGAGTACATCACTTTGCATATAGACAAACAGAGGCTCAGAGAGGTTAAATAACTTCCCACGGTCATACAACTAATACCTGGTAAAACTAGCGTTCGAACCCAAGTAATCTGATTCCAAAGTCTGTGATCTTAAGAACTATAGATAAGATAATATCTGTCTATGTTTGTCCTGCAGATGACGGGGAAAGGACAAAGTCATCACCTACCTGTAGGGTGGGCTATCTTTTTATGTGCAGATGCCTGTATTTAGAAAGAGGTTTTCCTGCTATCAATCCCAAATTGGTCTTCTTCTGTAACTTCCATCTGTTGTGAAGCCTTCTAAAGACACAAAGAATAAATCTAACTGGTCTTCCACGAAAGATTTTATCACATCCTCTAATGTTTTTTTCTTCTCCAAGGTCAATTTCTCAGTGTTTTAAACCATTCTTCAACTGACATAATATCCTGATGCCTCACCATCCTAACTCCCTGTCATAACATACCAAATGTCTATTAATATTCTGGAAAACACAGCATCCAGAACAAAATGCCGTGTTCCAGTTAGGCTAGCCAGCACAGAACACAAAGAAACGATTACGACCTTCATTGACCTCTATTGACCTGGTCCTAAATCCCATTAGATGGCCTTAAAAATACATTCTCTGATTGAGCAGCCATAAAAGAAAAAGTATACATACTTTCAATGTAAGGATAAGATCCATTGAGTATACACAAAATAATTCAAAAAAGGTTAATTTTAGGACATCAAGCAAATAAATCAGATAACGTAAAAATTATCTTGCCATAAAACACACAGATACTCTGTTTAAAATATCACAAGGATTATTTTAAATGTGTATCTGAGCTCACAAGAAAATAATGAAGATCCCTAGGGGTCAAAAATGAATATGGAAGGGACTCAGACAGATGTGCCACATCACCCCGGTTTGGTGCCTGGGAAAGGGGTTAGTCTGGTCTTAGTCAGCCCAGGGGCTTCTCTTTAATAGCTGCACACATAGGAGATAAGACCTTGAATCTATGAGCAACAGAGTTTTGAAAATGAGACCCTCATCCTTAATTCAGGCCCCTGAGAAGGCTGCATTCTCAGTGAAATGGTTTTTCAGATGCCCACTGGAACAGGGAGGTAAAAAGGAGGCTGGTCTGGTTCCACATTCCAGGCATGCGTAGTGAGGAAAAACCTCCCCTGAAAATTTTTAGCCAGAAGACTTCCTTCTCATGAGTTTGGGTTTTATTGTATTCTGTCCTTGCAAAGTCCCATATTCCTGAGGCAAGAAATTAACATAAAAAGTGGTCCTGGAGCACCTGGCAAAAGAAAATGAGAAACTTATCTAGATGGAGAAAGACTCAGCCCAAACCACACAGGAATCCCATGGATAAAGCCCCACTGAGGATGCTCGTGCAAGATAAAATTATAGAGCTCAAAAGGAAAATCTAGTATTCTGATAAATCAGCAGATAAAATAAACAGAAGGATAGACCCCCAAGAACTTCAGATAATGAAACAGCCAGAGATTATTTTTTAAGTATGCTTAAAATAATTAAAAAGGCAATGTATTGAAAACATGCATATAATTCTAATTCTTTCCAAAGGCCTATTAAAATGATAGTAAACCTTTCTCTCCCAAGGCATAAATTCACAAATGCAAGAAAAAGAGAACATAAACAAATAAAATTTGGAGGATGAAGAGCTGATAGACAAGTGATAATTGACTAGCAGAAAAGAATAAGTTTAATTCCAAATAGCAATAAGAAAAGTCAAGAAGCACATTTACCCTACAGATTGCACCAGACACCCAACTGTCAACAAGGCCCACCCATATGCTCAAAGTATTTAAATCCCACTGGTAAATGTAAGCATATAACCCAAGGATGAGCTGATATCTGATAAAGAGGATATAGGTGTCAGATTGGACCTGAATTTCAACTCTGCAATTTAATGCCATATAACTTTAGACGAGTAATTTCTTATGTCTCAGCTCTATTATTTTTTTTTTTTTTTTTTTTTTTTTTTTTGAGACGGAGTCTCGCTCTGTCGCCCAGGCCGGACTGCGGACTGCAGTGGCGCAATCTCGGCTCACTGCAAGCTCCGCTTCCCGGGTTCACGCCATTCTCCTGCCTCAGCCTCCCGAGTAGCTGGGACTACAGGCGCCCGCCACCGCGCCCGGCTAATTTTTTGTATTTTTAGTAGAGACGGGGTTTCACCTTGTTAGCCAGGATGGTCTCGATCTCCTGACCTCATGATCCACCCGCCTCGGCCTCCCAAAGTGCTGGGATTACAGGCGTGAGCCACCGCGCCCGGCCTCAGCTCTATTATTTAAAAAAATTGGGGAAATTATAGCAGTGACCTCTAAGAGCTAATGTGAAGATGAAATAAGTTAATATGTAAAACGCACTTAGTAGAGTCAGTGAGGAGGCACACAGTAACTCTTCAATAAGTGGTTGCTACTACAGATGCCATTTTGTATGGATAAAATTCTAACATAGAGAGGCAAAACAAAGAGGCTGAAGCAAATAAGAGGAAATGGAGACTACAGGGGAAAAAATATTTTAACTTTTAATATCTGCAGAGAAATAAAATATCCTGGCTATTTGGTGTGGAAAACAAGAACAGAAATTTATTTTTCCAAAAAGTAATACTCAGATAATAAATAGAGTCAAAAGAAAGAATGGAAAGTTGATTTCAAGGAATTCCCAGAGCACCTCTGGAATGGTGGACAATGGACATTTGAAAATCTACTCTTCCTTAAAAGCAATAGGAACACCAGCAAAAATTGTCAAAATCAACTTATTCATAAATCTGAAATTAACTAATGGCATAAAGCAATCCAAGAAGTGATTATTCAAGGAAAACATCTGAATCTCATAAGGACAATGAGGTTTGTGGTGTTCTGTCTTGGCCTATTCCCATCACTGTCTAGCTCTACAGTAGCCTTGAGAACCAACAGTATAAAAATCAGAGGAGCTGTGGAAACCAGCAGTCTTATGGACTTCAAATGGCATATTAGAAAATATCTAATTAATACAAAGATAACAGTAATGGAGAAATAGAGAAACAGAAAGGGCAAAAGACATATGGATATAAATAACAAACTTGCAGACTTAATTCCTGCTTAGGAGTAATTGCATGAAATGTAATTCTACTTAGCAGTAATTGCATTAAATGTAAATGGATTAAATACTCCAATCAAAAGACAGAGCGACAGATGAAAAGTAGATCTCATGAAGATAGAGAAGACTGGCAATAACCAGAGGCTGGGAACAGTAGGGGAAAGGGTAGGTAAAGAGAGGTTGATTGATAGGTACAAATATATACTTAAGTAAAAGAAATACAACCTGGTATTTGATAGCTTAGAGAGTGATTATAGTTAACATTAATCAATTACACATTTCCAAATAGTTAGAAGAGAACAATTTAAATGTTCCTAGAGTAAAAAAAAGACAGATAAATATTTAAAGTGATGGATATCCCAATTACCCTGATATTATTATCTGAATGTACCAAATTATCAAATGTATCCCCAAAATATGTACATTTAATATGTATTAATTTAAAAATAGTAAATAAATAACTTAAAAGCAACAGTAACAAAAAAAACAAACAAAAAATTATTTAACTCTCTCCTGTCTGTAAGAGACACACTTTTGATTCAAAGACATAGGTGGAAAGTAAAATAACACTAAAAGACATACAACACAAACAATAACCAAAAGAAGCTGGAGTGGCTAAATTTATATCACACAAAATCAACTTTAAAACAAAATTGTTATTAGAGACAGAGAAAGATATTTTATAATGTTAAAAGGGTCAGTCAGGAATACACAGTAATTATAAACATATACTAAGCTAACAACAAAACTGCAAAATAAATGTAGTAAAAACTGACATAATTAAAGGGAGAAATATACAACTCAAAATATAATTGGAGATTTCAAAATCCCACCTTCAATAATAGGTAGAACTACTAAACAAAAGATCAACAAAGAAATAAAAGCACTGAACAACCCTATAAACCAACTAGACCTAGCTAAAATCTATAGAATGCTCCAACCAATAACAGAAAAACATACATTCTTATCAAATGCATATGGAACATTCTCCAGAATCGACATATCCTAGGACATAAAACAAGTTTCAATATACATAAGATTTATATCATACAAAATATGTTCTCCAGTCACAATAAAATGAAATTATAAATCATTAATAGAGAGACATTTGGGAAATTCACGAGCATGTGGAAGTTACACAACAGAGCCCTAAATAACCAATGGGTCAAAGAAGAAATCACAGGAAAAATTAGAAAATATGCTGACGGGAATGCAAACAAAAACAAAACATACTACAATTGATGGGAGGCAGCTAAAGCAGTGCTTAGAGGAAATAATAAAGAATAGAGTGGGAACAAATGAAACATATAATAGAAGACAACAGAGAAAAAGGAATTAAATCCAAAGTTGAGTCTCTGAAAAGATTAACAAAATTAGCAAACCTTTAGCTACATTGCCCAACAGGGAGAAAAAAAGAGAATGATCAAATGACTAACATTTGGAATGAAATAGGAGACACTATCACTAACATAAGAGAAATAAAAAGGGTTATAAAGGCGTAGTAAGAATAAGTATATGCCAGCAAATTAGATGACCTAAATGAAATGGACAAATGCTTAGTAAAATACAAACTACCAATGCTGACTTAAGAACAAACAGAAAATACGAACACCCAAGAAAGTAATGAGATTGAATTAATGATCAAAAAACTTCTCACATTGAAAATCTCAGGCTCAGATGTTTTCACTGGTAAATTCTACCACTTAACATAGAATTAACATCAAGCCTTCATAAACTTCCAAAAAATATAAAAGTAGGAAAAATTTTAAAACTTATTCTATGAGGCCAGTATTACTCTTATATGAAACCAGAAGACAGCACCAGGAAAAAAAAAACTATGGACCAATAATTATTTTATACAGATGCAAAAAATACCAGCAAACTCAATCTAGCAACATATAAAGAGAATTGTACACCACAAACCAGTGGTATTTATGTCAAGAAAGCAAGGTCAGTTCAACATAGAAAAATCAATGTAATATACCAAATCAGTAGAATAAATGATAAAAATAACATGGCCATCTCAGATGCCAAAAAATTAGACAATATCCAACATTGCTTCATAATGAAAACACTTAACAATCTAGGAGTAAAAGGAAACTTCATCACCCTGATAAAGGTCATCTATGAAAAACTGACAACATCGTACTTAGTGGTGAAAGACTTGAATGATTTCTGCCTAAGATCAGAAATATGACAAGGAGTCCTGGACACAGTGGCTCACACCTGTAATCCTAGCACTTTAGGGGGCCGAGGTAGGTGGATCACTTGAGGCCAAGATTCGAGACCAGCCTGGGCAAAATGGCAAAACACCCATCTCTACTAAAAATACTAAAAAGCTAAAAATACAAAAAATTAGTAGGGCATGGTGGCTTATACCTGTAATCACAGGTACCTGGGAGGCTGAGGCACAAGAATCGCTTGAACCCAGGAAGTAGGGGTTGCAGTGAGCTGAGATCGTGCCACTTCAGCCTTCGTGACAGAGCAAGGTCCTGTCTCAAAAAAAAACAAAAAACAAAAACAAAAAAACAAAAGAAAAGAAAAAAAAAAGAAAAAGAAATATGACAAGGATGTCCACTCTTAGCACTTCTATTCAACACTGTGCTGGAGGGTCTAACTCAAGTTCGGCAAGAAAAAGAAGAAAAAGGTATCCAGATTAGAAAGGAAGAATTAAAACTATCTCCATTCTCAGATGAAATGATCTTGTATATATGGAAAATCCTAAGAAATCCACTAAAAACTATTAAATCTAATAAATGAGCTCAGCAAGGTTACAAGACTCCAGCAATAAACATTCTAAAAATAAAATTAAGAAAACAATTCCATTTCCAATAGCATCATAAGGAATAAAATACCTAAGATAAAATTAACGATAGAATTGTAGGCCCGGCACAGTGGCTCACACCTGTAATCCCAACACTTTGGAAGGCCAAGGAGGGATGATCACTGGAGCTCAGGAATTCAAGACCAGCCTGGGCAAGATGGCAAAACCCCGTCTCTACCAAAAAAAAAAAAAAAAAAAGAAAAATTAGCCAGTAGTGGTGGCACGTGCCTGTAGTCCCAGCTACTCAGGGGGCTGCGGTGGGAAGATCACTTGAGCCCAGGAGGTTGAGGCTGCAGTGAGTCATGATCGTGCCACTGTACTCCAGCCTGGGTGACAGAGTGAGACCCTGCCTCCAAAAAAAAAAAATAATTAAAAATTAAAAAGAATTGTAAGATTTGTATGTGGAAAACTATGATACATTGTTGAAATAAATTAAAGAATACCTAATTAAATTGAGAGACATCCCATGTTCATCAATTCAAAGACTAAATATTGTTAGATGGCAACTCACTAAATTTATCTATAGGCTCAACACACTCCCTATCAATATTTGAGCATTCTTTTTTTAGCAAATATGAAAAGCTGATTCTAAAGTGCATTTGGATACAGGCATTTAATGCTATGAACCTTCCTCTTAGCACTGCTTTTGCTGTATCCCAGAGGTTTTGATAACTTATGTCACTATTATCATTCATTTCAAATATTTTTTTAATTTCCAATTTGATTTCACCTAGGCATTAGAAGTAAAACACCACACCCAAATCACCACATCCAAGTGGATCAAGCAGGTAGCCAGACACAAGAACTTAAAGGCATCTCTCCTGCCTAGCTAACAGGGCTCCCTGCTTTCCCCCAGCTTCCTTTAAAGGGATCATTCAGGCATTTGCCCGCAAACTTAAAGTAACTCACATTCTATTCTTTTATGTATACTGCTATTTGCTATGCTCACTCTCTTTCTCTCTCTGCCTGCCTCTTCATTCCTGTCTTGCATGGGCCAGAATGAAGGACTACCTTTCTGTCTCATTATACCCTCCCTGCCCAGGATTTGTAAGTAAAAATATTTGAATTTATTTCATATTGTGGTAGTGCAATGAATTTGCACCTTCCATTTGAAGAATTATAGAGGCTACCCTGGGCCAGCTCTTCTCTGGGACCCTTGTTGGAACACAAGGTCAGGCTCCCAGGAAGGCATAAACAGGATATGAGTCAGACAAGAGCCACAGGGCATCTGCCAATATAAACAAATTTTCCATGTGAGAAACCATATGGTCATGAATTGTGCAACTAGGCATTAGTCCATCTGCCAGGTAAAAGAAGTATCCAGTGAAAGGCATACCGTATATACCCATGTCCAGCTCCCCTTCATTTCCCACTGGGGCATCGTTGCTAGCTACTCTGGTACTGAAACCCAGGTTTATCTGGAGGTTCTCAAAACAGTTAAACATATAGGTCAGTGAAATAGAATTGACAATGTAGAAACTAGCCCTTACATGTATGATCAATTGATTTTCTACAAAGATGCCAAGACAGTTCCTTAGGAAAGAACAGATTTCTCAACAAATGATGTTGGAATAACTGGATATCTATACGCAAAAGAATGAAGTTGGACCTCTACTTGATCCCATGTATAAAAATTAAATCAAAATTGATCAACAACCTAAATGTAAGAACTAAAATTATAAAACCCTTAGATGAATCTGTAGGATTAAATCCAAATGACAATGGCTACTTAGATATGACACCAATGACAAGTAACAAAAGAAAATATATGAATTAGATTTTATCAGAAAATATTTTGTGCTTCAAAGAACATCATTAGGAAAGTAAAAAGACAACACATGGAATGAGAAAATATTTGCAAATAATAAATCTAATAAGGGATTTCTATGTAGAATACATAAAGAACTCTTATGACTCAATAATGACAATCTAATTTTAAAATGTGTAAAGATTGATTAGATATTTATCCAAA
Organism: Homo sapiens; assembly: GCF_000001405.40. Lineage (NCBI taxonomy): Eukaryota > Metazoa > Chordata > Mammalia > Primates > Hominidae > Homo > Homo sapiens. The sequence continues at coordinate 163,649,023 of NC_000005.10, read as the reverse complement.
GAAGATACAAAAATGACCAATAAGCACATAAAAAGATGCTCAAAATCGTTAGTCATCAGGGAAATGAAAATCAAAACTACAGTGAGATACGACTTTATGCCCAATAAGGTGACTTTGATGAAAAATAACAAATGTTGATAAAGATCTGAAGAAATGGGAACCCTTAACGTTTTTGTGGGATTGTAAATGTGCGCAGGTGCTTTGGAAAATAGTTTGGTAGTTCCTCAAAAAGTTAAACAGTGGCAAGACATCACAGCTCACACCTGTAATCCCAGCATTTTGGGAAGCCTAGGCAGGAAAATTGTTTGAGCCCGGGAGTTTGAGGTTGCAATGAGCTATGATCACACCACTGCACTACAGCCTGGGCAACAGAGCGAGACCCCGTCTCAAAAAAAAAAAAAAAAAAGTTAAACATAGAATTACATATGACCCTAGCAATTTCACTCCTACCCAAGAGAACTGAAAAATGTATAGCCACACAAAAACTTGTATATGAAAGTTTATACTAGCATTTACTAGCATTATTCATAATAGCCAGAAACTGTAAATAACCTAAATTTCCATTAACAAATGAATGGATAAACAGGTAATAGCATATTCATACAATGGACTATAACTCCACTATAAAAATTACTGACACATGCTACAAAATAAATACACTTGGAAAACATAATGCTAAGTTAAAAAGTCGGTGACATAAACCACATATTGTATGATTGCATTTATATGAAATGTCAAATAGGAAAATCCATAGAAATAGAAAGTTGATGATTGGTTTTCAGGAGGGAGGGCAAGGAGGGAATGGGTGTGACTGCTGATGAATATGGGTTTTCTTATTGGGGTGTAGGGTGATGGAAATGTTCCAAAATTTGATGCTAGTGATGGTTGTATAATATTATGAATATACTTAAAACCACTAAATTGTATACATTAAAAGGATGAAATTTGTGGTATTAATTACATCTCAATAAATTCATTTCTAAAAAAGTATAGCCTTCCCCAAATCAACATCCTTCATTCTAGTTTTTTCTTGGTAAACCCCTTTCACATGTAGTAGTGATCAACTTCAAGAAAGAAAAAAATGGAAAAGGAGGAAGGGCAAGAGAGGGACTTTTCAGAAAGTCAGAACATAAAGACACAAATTAAAAACAGGAAAGCAAAGATAAGAAAATTAGAAGAGCAGTCTAAGAGGTCTAACTTCTGAATAGGATAGAGAGCAGAGGAAATGGAGGTTAATGAAACATTCAAAGAATAACTATTATTATTATTCAAGAAAATTTCCAGAACTGAAGGATAAAAGAAATCAAATTTAAAAGGCATATTGAGTAACCAGCAAAATGGATGAAAGTAAATGTATACCAAAGCACGTCAATGTGAAATTTTGGGACAATAAAAAAAAATAATATTCTATAAGTTTCCAAAGGGGTTAAAAGTAGAAGTGACATGCAAAAGACCAGGAAGGAGAATGGACTGAGACTTCTCAACAACAACTCTGGAACCCAAAAGACAATGAGGTAATAATTTTAAAATTCTGAAGGTAAATTATCAGCAGCTACTTATCAATTCAGTGTGAAGAAAGATTAGAAATGTTTAAAATTATGTAATGTCTCAAAATATTGATCTCCCATGCACCCTTTCACTGGACACTACCAGCACATGTGCCCCTCCAAAGAGGGCTGTAAACCAAGAAAAAAGAAGGTGTGGTTCTGAATGAAACAGGGAAGAGACTAAAGGAATCACCAGGATAATATTAAAGGAAGATCATAGGAAGACTGTTGTGCAGTAGACATGAAGTACAGATGATCAAGATTATAGCAGGTCAGGCCAGGTGCAGCGGCCCAAGCCTGTAACCCTAGCATTTTGGGAGGCTGAGGCAGGTGAATCACCTGAGGTCAGGAGTTCAAGATCAGCCTGGTCACCATGGTGAAACCCTGTCTCTACTAAAAATACAAAAAAATTAGCTGGGCATGGTGGCTCCTGCCTGTAGTCCTAACTGCTTGGGAGGCTAAGACAGGAGAATCGCTTGAACCCAGGAGGTGGAGTTTGCAGTGAGCCAACATTGTGCCACTGCACTCCAGCCTGGGCAACAGAGTGAGACTCAATCTCAAAAAAAAAAAAGAAAGAAAAAAAAAATAGCAGGTCAGATGACTCTAAGAGAAATTGCTCCAAAAAGGTAACATTTATACTACCTGACATATCTGAATATACTAAAAACAGACTGAGATAATTATTGGAATGTTTCAGGTTCAACTAAGTAAGTACATTAAAAAACTAAACAACAGGAAAAATATGACAATTATTAACCCCAAGTTGGGGGAAGGAGAGTCCCTTAGTGCATGTCTTGGCTTGATTGTTTATAGTGCTTATGAAGCCATAATAATACAGACATTGAATATAGAATACCAATCTAACAAATTTCAACTAATTCTATTAGAAAAAAATGGGAGATGGAAAGGTGGTCATTTTATGGCAGGAATCAGGAAAGAAATGGAGCTAAATCTTTACCTTCCATATGTGAAGTTTCAGAAACAACACCTGTAATTGAAAAATCAAGTGGTAGCAATAAAAGCATGTTATTTACAGACATGATGTTAAATTCCCAAATTATAAGTTAAAAATAATTAAAAGTGGTTTCTCTGGGATGACAAAATAGGGAGGAAAAAAGAGAGGAAACAGGGCAAAAGCAGAAGAAAGGACAAGATACCACTTTAAAAAGGCAGGGAAATCTGAAAAATCCAGGGACAGGTTATATCCTTGCAGTAGGGAAGTAGACATATTTACAATGAAATGCAGGGGACAATCATTGAAGAATAGACATTTGAACCTTAGCAACATCTTAGAAGGTATTCTTTTTTCTACATAGAAATCATGGAAGCTCATCAAAGTCATCTTACCAAGGGAGTACTGAATGGGGATATTCACAGGCATTCAAACATTGACAGTGAAGGGCATCACCTCACTATATTGCTTCCCGAAATAGCTGTTAGGAACAGAAATTGCTAAAGCAATAGTAATTCAGTTGAACTCTGTGCAGATGCAAATGTCAGGAGATGGAGCTAAGAGACACACTTTGCTGTGATTATCATATCAACACATATGTCAAAAGAGAGACTGGCACACTCTGGGACAGTGAAGAGGATGACAATACAGGCTGATGACCTGAGCCAGGATAACAATAGATAAAAAGGACCAAGATCAAGAACAAGAGACTAACCACCCTGTCTGCCTCTGACAAGGGGCATCATCAACATCTCGTAATGAGCAACTAGTAATTAATGCCAAAACTACATGTGGTTACATATGCATGTCATTCATACTGTCCTGTTGATGTAGGATTTTTCTTCTCAGTCACTTTGCAATCTGGGGAACCCTGGCTGGTGACGCCCCACCCAGACCTCACACAGCCACACTGGCTTGCCCCAGCTTGCCTGTGTTATAGCTTGTACCCACGTTTAGCAGTTCCTGAGCTCTTATACTGTGATCAAGAAGAATGAGGATATGTTGGACATTGAAGGGTGAGGAGAGCGGAGAAGAATTTTATTGAACAATATAAATAGCTTTCAGTGGAGGGGATATACAGTTGGTTCCCATACTAGAAAGCAGGAAAGTTCTCCCATGTGGCTGGGTCCGGGGCCTTTTACGGATTCAGAATGGGGAGTGCATGCTGATTGGTTTGTGAGTATACAAAAAAGGTTAAAGTAAAAACACTGCTCAAAGGCGCGCATGACAGTGTAGAAAACCAATTAGAAAAGGGTACGTTTATGTAAAATAGGTGAAAAGTGGGGACCAATCAGAGGAAAGCATGCAAAACAGGAAGACAAGTTCTCAATCGGGTCTGATAATTTAACTTGTAGCTTGGCTTTCAGGCTTTAAACTGTCTTCAGCTTGGAGGTGGAGTTTCCCTGGGGACCTGCCCCATCTGCCTAGGCATTTGGCTGCCTCCTGTCACTATCACTACGAGAGTGCATATGCTTGTATGAAACACTGTATACAGTTCAGGATGCAGCATCAGTTCACTGCTTAATAAATGACTGTGCTTTGGGAGGCCAAGGCGGGCGGATCACGAGGTTAGGAGATCGAGACCATCTGGCTAACACAGTGAAGCCCCATCTCTACTAAAAATACAAAAAATTAGCCGGGCATGGTGGCACGTGCCTGTAGTCCCAGCTACTCAGGAGGCTGAGGGAGGAGAATCGCTGGAACCCGGGAGGCAGAGGTTGCAGTGAGCCGAGAGATCGCGCCACTGCACTCCAGCCTGGGCGACAGAGCGAGACTCTGTCTCAAATAAATAAATAAATAAATAAATAACTGTGCTGTTTTTCATGACGTTTCAAGTCAGAACGTCACATCAAGTAGGGTAAGTAAAACAAGTAAGCAGGTGCATTCACTGTCCTCACTCCACATCGAGTAGATACGAAAGCGCTTCTTATGAAAGTATTATCCATAAATATTTCATATACTAATAAAACAGCAAACTAGTAATTACAGTTAGTTCTCTAAGTTCTCCTGGGCTAGTAGCACGTTACATCAGTCAGGGTTACAATCCAGTCAGCCCTCTGTATCCACGGGTTCCGCATCTGCGGATTCAACCAGCCATGGATGAAAAGTCCTTAAAAAAAAAAAAAAAAGAAGAAGAAGAAGAATACAAATTTTAAAACATCTGTTTCTCGGGGATGTAGAAAAGAAAAAAACAAATTAAAAGAATACAGTATAACCACTACCTCATAGCATTTACATTGTAGTAGGTATTATAAGCAATCTAGAGTATATGAGAGAATGTGTGCATGTTATACGCAATTATGCCATTTTATATAAGGGCCTTGAGCATCCATGGACCAACCCCCATCAGATACCAAAGGACGATTGTGCCTACTTGAGGGAAACAGTTGCAATTCTTTAAAACTATTCTTTAATATAACAGCTAAAAACTTTCAGATTGCAGCCTCAATCTGGCCCACTGAACTGTTTTTAACTTTTACAGGCATTATTATCAAATTCGTTGCTAAAATATAAAAATTGGAAGACTTTGAAAAATCCCTAAAAAATGCAAATCTATGGATTCTCTCTCTCTCTCTCTCTCTCTCTCTTTCTCTCTCTCCCTCACCCTCTCTCCCTCTCTCTCTCCCTCTCCCTCTCTCCCTCTCTCTCTTAATGTTGTAAAGTTGGCTGAAACTAAGAGGCCTCCCACTTTGGACAAGGTCTGTAGGAAGGGGTTCTCCTTCACCCCAGTCCTCCTATGGCTCCTTCCCTGTATTCTGCGCCCCACAGGCACCTGAATCTGGGACCTTGGTTCTAATTACAGATGCAGCCCAGTCTGATGACATCAGCTTCAGACCAGATAGACTTGTTTAGAACCCTGGGTCCAGCTGACTCCACTGATGCAGAGCAATTTACTATTTAAAGCCTCAGTTTCTCCATTTTTGGCAAAATGGGAATAATTTTGTCTTTCTCATAAGACTATTGTGAGGATTCACAGGAAAAATGCATTTATGTCAAATGTTTGGCATAAACACTCAGTAAATAATAGTCTTCCCTTCCCCTAAGTGAACTTTTGATCAATTCAAACACACTCAGCATTTCAAGCATTCAGCACACTTCTCAGTGACCTTCACATGCAGTACCAGGGGTGGTGAAGGACAAAATGTTGCAAGGAAGCCCGGCCTTCAAGGAGTATGGAAGCTTAGTAGGGAAGAACTAAGCAAGATAGAGCATGATGAATGTCCCTGCAAAAATGAAAATAAAATGCACTGAATGCCCTGAAATCACCACTGGTGGTGAGGCAAATGTCACTGTCCGTGTTTTGTATAAGCCTTCATGGTACTTTTCCAAGTATCACCAGCTTTCTTCACCCTCACTCTGATCTACACTACCACATGAGCACGAAGGTGGGGGGAACTATAGCGAGGGCTTCGCTTAAGGAACTGAAAAACTCCAGCCTTCACAAAGCTGTGTGCTGTACATCCAGTCATGTTCTCTACAAAGAGAAACAGAAGTTACTGCTGCTGGTTTAAGATGGGATGTCATATCTAGCTGTGGAATAACATTTAGAAGATGCAACTTTAGATCTGAGTATACATGGGTGGGAGGGAGAAGGAGGCCAATTTTTAAGAACAATCTTACTTTGTCTGGTGGGACTCACGCTTCATCTCAAACACAAATGTGCTATTAAGTGAGTCTAAAATAACTGATACAAATCTCTCCGCTGAGCCAGTGGGAAATTCCAACCTTTATAAGTTGGGAAGTGCTAAACCAGCAACCTTTTAGAAAAGAGTATCTATCTTTTTGAGCTGTTTCTGGGGAATTGCATATAAAGCACTCTGAAAACAAAAATACTCCCCTATTTTTTCAGGATCTGTTTTGCCAGCTTGATACGAAGCTGCCCAGGACAGATATTGTCAGGGCTCGAAGTGTTTTCAGAATTATATTCACAGTTAAAATGTTTTCCAATATGGTGTTTGAAATCAAAACCAAAACATCCCTTGAGGAGAGTAAAAAAAAATAAAAGCATTTCCTAATTTTTCAGTACCTATAAAATGTCTAAAGGAATTTATTTTCTCTACCAACATTCCTATCACTTAATAATTTGACAGTCTTTTCTGAAAAATGTCTTTAGGAGGTTTACATTTAGAAGAACTAGGCACAACATTTTGATTGACCATAGCAAGCTACAAAGTGACACATTCTGATTGATTCTAGACAAGAAAGAAAAACCATATGCTAAATGTTTCTGTCTTCTTATGGATTGGAAGCGTAATTATTGGTCAGGTCCTGGGGGTTTAAGAAATTGTTAAACACGCAAGCCTCATGTTCTAGTTAAATCTTTGAGTCAGTCAGCTTTACAAAAAGCTACTCTTTTGGCAACTTACTTGAAATAAGAAGTCAATGACAAAATCTGAAAATTTATTGGGCTTATATTTTGACAACACTGTCTAAAGATAACTAAATTTAAACAAAGAGAAGTAAAAATTTACACATGAGAAATCCAAGAAAGACCATTAAAGAAGAGTTAAAAATGTTTGAAGTGTATTTCTAATCTTTGGGGGCCATTATGGACTGAATGTTTGTTTCCCACTCCCCCACCAAATGCACATATTGAAGCCCTAACCTCATGGTGACTGCGACCATATTTGGAGATGGGGCCTTTGGGAGGTAATTAGGGTTAGATGAGGTCATGACAGTGGAGCCCTCATGATGGGACGTGTGTCCTTAGAAGCAGAGACACCCGAGAGTTTGCTCTCTCGTTGCTCATGCCCTCACTCTCTCTTTCTCTCTCCTCCCATCTCTCCCCCTCTCTGTCTCCCTCTCCCTCCCTCCCCCTTTCTCTATTTCCTTCTCTCCACGCATGGACGAAAGATCATGTGAGCATACGGTGAGAAGGCAACTATCTAGAAGCTTAGGAAGAAACCCTACACTAGAACTTAACCATGCTGGCACCCTGATCTCAGATTTCCAGCCCCCAAAACTGTGAGAAAATACATTTCTATTGTTTCAGCTACCCATTCTATAATATTTTGTTACGGCAACCTGAACTGACTCATCCAGGGGCCATATTTCAGAAGAAAGTATAATGCTCTAACACACATCCTTTAGCAGATATTTTTTGTGGTGTACCTGCCTGGCCCATGTCCCTACTGCTGAGAACTGACCCCTCAGGTTATTGATGGGACTCACTCCCCTGCCCTCAACTGACTGGCCTGTAAGTCAACACCTGGCCAAACATGCTGTGCTAAGCCATATTGGAGCCTGAAGGAAAAGGAAAATCAGTAATAATAATCCTGCCTTCTTTAAAATTTTCTATTTTGTCATCATGGAATTTTTACACTAGTTTGATTTTTTAATATTACATAGAAGCATTATTTATCTACATTATTGATATTTTCATGGATCCTCTTAAATGTTGCCCCTGAGACAAGAGCTTCCCTTGCATCATCCCAATTCTAGCCCTGTGGATGAAGCTAGGTGTCCCTTGAATTTGGAGAGTGGTCTAAGAAAAACTTGTTAAGGGATCTTAAACAGGGAACCTCCAGACTATATCTGGCCTGCAGACTGTGGCTGTAATTGGTTTTATCATAAATATTGGTCAATTTAAATACTTTTAATCAAGAAACACACCCCGCCTACTGTCACTGTCCCTTTACTCCCTTTTTTTTTTTTTTTTTTTTTTTTTGAGATGGAGTCTGGCTCTGTCACCCAGGCTGAAGTGCAGTGGTGCAATCTCGGCTCACTGCAACCTCCACCTCCTGGGTTCAAGCAATTCTCCTGCCTCCCGAGTAGATGGGATTACAGGCTACTTTTTGTATTTTTAGTAGAGATGGAGTTTCACCATGTTGGCCAGGCTGGTCTCAAACTCCTGACCTCAAGTGATCCACCTGCCTCAGCCTCCCAAAGTGCTGTAGTTACAGGTGTGAGCCACGGCACTCATCCCCTTCACTCCCTATTAATTTAAATGTGGCCCCACTCCTGAAGGTCTCCAGGCTGACTCTGACCTGGTGGCTGGGACCAGTCACTGGGATTGAAAATATGCAACCTGGGGTGGATCCTGTGAGGCTACCATATTCTGTCATGTATAAAGAAGCAGAAAAAGCCCAGAAAGAAAGAAAGAAAAATGAAGTGAATGTGCAGAGATGAGCAAAAAGGAAAAACTGAGAGACCTCCTAAAAGAGATAAGAATGTGAGTTTGACTGTGCTGACTTTGAACTTCCAGTTTCTATCGCCCCAGGGCAGCTCTAACTCTACCTTGATTTGGGACTGGGGCTTTTGCTACCTGGACACTAGCAACCCTTAATTACGTCTACTCATGAGAGAAACTATTGCCCTTTCTTACCTTCTATTTACGGTAAAATCAGTAGATAGGCAATTCACCAAGTGAATTCTTTCTTGAACCCAGAGCCCCTGATCTGTGAAAGCAGCAG